>NC_000010.11:4555454-4706969 GCF_000001405.40 Homo sapiens
CCCTCCCTGGAAATTTGTATCCCTCAACCTTGATATTCTAATTTCTACAATGAAATCTCCAGAAACAGCTTCATATGGTTCAATGAAGAGGTTTGCAATTCAGGGTAACTTGTGGGCCATTATTTTTCCAGTAAAGAAAGAAAAAAATGAAGAATATAATATATTAACCTTATTGTACAGAGTAGCTGGAATATTAAGAAGTAACCTCTGACCTTAATTTATTGATAAGGGCTTGCCTTTGAGTTAAAGAATTTTGTAGACCTAAAATATACACAGAAATCGGGGCTTAAGAAAGCCTGGCAATCTGATAAAATTAAGTAAAATTTCTTTTGCTGAATGGACAGAATCATGAATTAGTTGGTTGAGCGTGTCCACAATATAACTTTTCTTCCGTGAGAGAATTTTGGAGGTTGGCTTGGCAGTTAATAAAATTTGCTTTAGAGATGAGAATCAGACATTGCAAAGGTCAGACAGAATTCCTCAGCAGATTCTGCAGTCATGAAAAATTCAGCCATTCCTCTTGATTTCCTCCCTCGCACATTGTATGAACATTTCCGCTTGCTGGCAGGTGTGTGCCTGGGGCTGGGTATTGGACCCACCTGATTATTTCCTGGTGTATCTCGTCCTTTCCACTTAGCTCCCTGCTGCCTATTCTAGAAGCAGCATACACAGATGCATGAGCCAGTGTCTGTGGCTTACTGCTGAGCCATTCTCTTCTAAATACCACCAGTAGTCCCATTCCAACTGAGAGCCAAAGATAGGTTAAAATAGAGTATTTTCAGTTTCTACAGTTTGTGGCATGTATTTATTTTTGTTTTGGTTTTTACTCATCTGATTGATTTGGGGGGGTTGGGAATTACCAAAATGCTTTCGCACAGAAAATACTTTAGGATCTTGGTTTCAAAGGACACAACTCTTACCTATCACAGGGATGCACCCATTCACTTAATAGTTTATAATGAGACAGTGTGATTCATACGATCAACACTGAAGCCACAGTATATCGTATTCTGTGCCATATGTTCTCTGTTGCATGGGTATTCTGGAGCAAGGGGGAAGTGAGGCATCTTAAACTGGAAACTAAAATGTAAAGAAAGAACCAGATCTTTGGATTCTTGGGGAGTTGCATTTAGAACTTGATTTTGATGTCATCTTGCTTCAAAATTTCTTTTTTTTTTTTTTTGATTCATCCCTTCCCCAGAGTGACTTTTCAATATGATTATAATTAAAATATGGACAATTATTGTGCTGGCTCTTAGATCACTGAATGAGTCACATGTATTACATCCATCACTATACCAGCCTAGAACTCTTTCATTTCTTGTATTAATTAAAATCTACCATATTTCTAACAGGAAAATAGTCATTTTAAATAAAGGTCTGATTTTTTACAAAGTGTGTATGAGACACTCTATTATACAGCTGGGAGCAAACAGGTATGGGGAGCTTGCAGAAGGAAGTCTGCAGTAGAGAGAGAAGCAAAGGCAGTTGGCATATATGCACTTTGGCCTAGATTTTGCACACTGCAGCTGAGTGATTTTGGCAAATCACATATCTGTTCTGTACTTAAATTCTTTTATCTATAAAATGGTAGCAAGCTGTCTTTAAAGTGTAAAAAACTAACATTTCCTTGGATTGGGTTTCAACGTACTCCAGTAGCTCAAAGATCTTCATTTCTATCTATATTCTGAATCCTATTTCTGTCATCTGAACCATCTCAGCCTGGTTCAGAACCCTTGCAGGGGAGATGATGTGGTCATTTGGAGGAAAGAAGACCCTCTAGTTTTTGAGTCATCAGGTTCTTGCACCGGTTCTTTCTCATTTTTGTGGGCTTATGTTCCTTCAATCTTTGAGGTTGCTGACCTTTGGATGTTTTTTATTCTTGTTTTTGTTTCCTACTTGAAGACCTTGAGGGTTTGATTGTGATATAAGATGGATTCAGCCGAATGATTTCATTCCTGGAAGATTTTTGGGGGTCAGCTCTTAGCTCCCAATTCCTGGACTGTGGGCTCTAACTCTGGGGACTTGTATTGGGCCCTGACTTTGTTCTCTGGCTCCTCCAGTTTAGGAGTCTACTGTGCTGGGTGTGGCTGAGGTGCTCCCTGACTGCTGGTCACTCCACTCCAAAGGGTGGTGTCAGCCAAAGCGTTTCACAGTGCGGTGACGATGGGATCCGCCCATGTTTGCACGTGCCAGGAGCAGCGGTAGCAGCAGCTCCAGGGAGGTGCACACTTGTCAGCGGCAGTGGGGTGCTGGCGGGTGCCAGAGGGCCTGCCGCCCTAAGGTCGTTCACGATGGTGTCAGCGGCAATGCAGCTGGGGTGGAGGGCCTGCTGGCAGCTGTGCGTGCAGTGACACTGGTGGTGTTGGCTGCACACACACAGTTTGGTGTTGGCTCCAACACTAACATTTCAAGTCTGGTGGTATATATCTATCGTCTATAGTACACATTCATTTTCTATCATGCGCAAACACTGTGTTAAGGTTTTTAATTTTTAGTCACCTTAAAAACAATCTTCTTGTATTGTTTTGTTTTGATACAAAAACTCTTAGGATTGTTGTAAGTATCTCCATTTTCAGAGAAGAAAATGGAAGCAAATGGAGACTGACTTCGCCAGGATTGCATGACCCAAGGTAACAGTGCAGCAAGGACAGCAGCTCCTGTCAGACAAGAATCTCTTCAACTTACTGATGACAAATTTACATCCCTGCTTGAATCGACTCTCCTTTTCTTTCTCTCGTTTTATTGATCTCTGAATGCCATTTTCTTCAGCCTTCTTTGAAACCTACTGTTATTTATTTGTACTGTCCACTCCCTTACTATCTTTAAACTCTCCCTCTTGTGACTGTCACATGCAGACATTCAAATATGCACAGTTCATGGATATTTTAAAAATGCAACAAAACTAGATACTTAAATTACCTGAATCCATCTAGCTTCCAACACACCGTTATTCACAGCCAAAACACATATTCTTAACTTCTGCACCTGCCAGTCATTACTCTACCGATCCCAATCTAGATCATATATTTAGAAATTTCTGGAGTTAAAAATGTAGCTAAGAACAATGGAGATTTTTAGCTTACCTCAAAAATCTTCTTTAATCCCTAGGTTATTTAAAAGTGTATTTTTTAATTTCCAGATATCTGGGGGAATTTACCAGATAGCTTTATGTTCTCAATTTATATTTTAGATCTGTTATTGTTTTAGAACTCACTTTATACAATCTCTGTACTTTTAAAGTTGTTAATGTTTCTTTCATGACCCAGAATTTGGTCAGCCTTCTTGAATGTTTCATTAAAAAGAAGGTACATTCTACTCTCCTTAGAATGTTCTATAAATGTCTATTAGACATTATTGGTTGGAAATATTGTTCACGTGACCCATATCCTTACTGATTTTTCTGTATATTTATTGCAGAAAGGAGTGTTATTAAGTTGTTACTATAATTATAGATTTATCTGTTTCTCTTTCCAAATATATCGGTTTTAGCTTCATGTATTTTGAAGCTCTATTTTTATATGTACATACATTTAGGATTCTGATATATTTTTGGATCATTTATCACTTTATGTAATATTCTATTTTCAACTTTTCTAAAATTAATATAACACTTTACCTTTTTTGAAGAGTATTAACGTTTTAGTGGTGTATCAGTCTTTATTCTTTCACTTTTTTGGCTATGACTTTACCTTATAGTGGCTTTACTGAGATCGAATTCACACGTAGCACTTATCCTTTAAAGTGTATAATTCAATGAGTTTTCATATATTCACAGACACTTGCAACCATCATCACTATGTAATTTCAGAACTTTTTATCATCTCAAAAAGAAAACCCGTGTCAGCTAGTACTCATGCATCTGTTCTTTTTTAATCTAATTATATCTTTGCACTTAAAGTGGATTTCTTGTAGATAGCATACACTTTGATCCTCCTTTTTCACATCTAATCACACAGTCTCTGTCACTTAACATATATGTTTAGATCTTCAGATTTAGGGTAATTATTGATATGGTTGGATTACAGTCTAAGATTTTGCCATTTTCTAATGGTTACACTTGTCTTCCTTTCCATTTTCTCCTTTTTTGGCCTTTTTTGGGTTATTGAGCATTGTATATATTCATTGGAATACTAGTCTACTTTTAAAAAGGGAAACTTTGTCATTTGCAGCAACTTGCATGAACCTGGAGGACATTATGGTAAGTGAAATACGCTAGGCATAGAAAGACATATACTGCAGAATCTCACTACCATATGGAATGCAAATACTTGAATTCTTAGAAGCAGAGAATAGAATGGTGACTTCCAGGGGTGAAAGGATGATAAATGGGGAAATGCTGTCCAAAAGGTACAGGGTTTGAATTAACCAGGAGGAATAATTTCTAGGGATCTGTTGTACAGCATGGTAAACATTAGTTATAATGTCGTTTTTTATTATACTTAAAAATTGCAAAAAGTTTGGATTTGAGTGGTCTCATGACACACAAACACACACACAATATAACTATGTGAGGCAGTGGATGTGATAATTACCTTGATTATGGTAATCATTTCACAATTGTATTCATCTATCAAAACATCACATTGTACACCATACTTACATACAATTTTACTTGGCTATTATACCTTAAGAAAGTTGGAAAATGTAAGAATAAAATACATTTTATTTTATATTTATTTATCTCTTTTCAGGGTTTTTTACTGCTTTGTGAAGATCCAAATTTCTATTCTAATTTTTAACCTTGAAGAACCCCCACAAATATTTTTTGTATTGCAGTTCTGTCAGCAATTTATTCCTATTTGTCTGAAGAAGTCTTTATTTCTCCTGCAATTTTTAAGGATATTTTTGCTTGATATAGAATTCTGGGTAGATTTAATTTTCTTGCATCACTTTCAAGATATAATTGTGTTTTTTCTTGCTAGCATGGTTTCTGATGAGAAGCCTCCGATAATTGCGTTCTTGTTACTCTTCAGTTAATGCATCTTTTATTCTCTGGCTACCTTCAAATTGTTCCATTTCTTTGGATTTTAGCACTTGGAATATGATATGCACTTAGCAATGCGTGGTGTGTGTGTGTGTGTGTAACTGGTTTGTTGTTTACTGGGTTTCTTGGATCTGTGGTTTAGTATCTATTCTTAATTTTGAAAAAGAAAAAACCTCAGTCATACTTCTCCCAGTACTTAATTTTGCTATAGTCTCTTTCTATTCTTATTCTAAAATTTCAATTATACATGTGTTAAATCATTTGATGTTGTTCCACAGCTCTTGAATGTTTCATTGTTTTCCTTTTTTATTGTGATTTATTTTTCTTTTCAGTGTCAGTAATTTCTATTGACCCATACTCAATTTCACTGACTATTTTCTCTACTGTGTGAAATCTACAAATTAGCCCATCAAAGTCATTTTTAATCTTTGTCACTGTGTTTTTTTATTTATGGCATTTACATTTAATTCTTTTAATTTCTACCTCTCTACTGAAATTATCCACATGGTCTTGCATGTTGTCTCTGTTTTGCTACAGCTTTTCAAATGTTATTGTTTTAAATGTCCTGTGTGATCCTTGCCTGGTGTATTGTTTGTGTCATGTTCATATCTAGTGTTAATGATTTCTTTTTGGGGAAAATTTTATTTTTTCTTGAATTTCATATGTCTGCTGAAAGCCAGACACTTTATGTAGATGGATAGAAACAGAGGTAAGTAGATTGTGTGCTTGGCCATGACTGTGTCTTTTTTTCTTAAGCTTTCATGTGGCCAGGACTCAGGTATGGAAAGCAAGGTGCCAGCCTCAGACTAACTTCATCTTCTCTGTCTGAACCTTGTGAGGTGTGTGGAAGAAAAGTCTGAGAGAGAATGTCACGCCCGCACAAGACCTGCAGTCCCTGGAGCTACACAGTCTTGGCATTTAGAAACCATTAAAGAGTCTCAGCTTATATGCATCCATTGACATTTGCCCATGGTAAGTAAATGTTTAGGTCCTCATAATTGACGGGTCTCCCACCTGTTCAGTCAAGGGTCTTTGCCTGCTGCCTGAACCTTGAAGGCCAGGCACTCAGCCAACGCCAAGGGACTCAGAGGAGGAGCAGGTGTTTCTAAAAACTGAAACACCCCAGAGAGTGTCTGAGCAACTACCAAGAAAAGCAGTCTCATTGTTTAAATGCAGTAGGCAAACAGCTAGAAAATCAGCTTAAAAGTGGTTTAAAAAGAAAAGGCGGCATAGACCTCTGCAGCTATCCTGCTGCCATCTGGGAATGCCTCATACGTAAATCCAAATAAACTCATCTACTCGCCAAGGTGGACTTGTCTGAGTCATTATTTGGTCTCTCAGATCCCTCTCAGTTTGTGGAAAAATTTTTTAATAGAATTCCAGGTTTTTCTTGTTACAGTCCTGTTTCTTTCAGCAGGCACCCATCTCTCCTCATATTCCCAGCTGCATGGTTGTACTACAATCACAGTTTTCTGAGTGGGTTCAAAAAAAGTCAATAATGTGCTGTTTATCTAGCATTTTTTGTAAGTGTAGGTGTATCTGTGTTCATCTTTCTTTGTCTCAAAGCAGACAGATATTGCTTGTTCTTATCTTATATACTCTCCGTCTTTTTATTAAGTTTAGGTGCTTCTTTCTTTCTGAAACAATCTCTTGTTCTTCCACCCCTTCTTCAGCCTCTCCACCTCAGCATCCTCTTCAGGACTGCATTTTTCTGTTCACTATGGATGTCTTCTCTGGAGATCCTCAGTATTCTACATCATCACCACTTCCATTTCTTTGGTAATCACATACGTCACCATTTCTCTGTCTCACACTGCTCTTCTCAGTTCTAAAGCCATGTATCCATTTGCAAAATGTAAATTTTTTCTTACATGTCCCATGAGCCTCTCAGACTCAATACACCCAAAACAAATTCCGTATCTACCACCTCAAGTTAGTCATCTTTCAATGTCCCCTCTGTCTTGGTAAATTCTCACCTACTCTGTTGCCAAAGCTAGAAATCTGGAAGTCGTGGATATTTTCTTCTTTCTCCCTCGCATGTAGTTCTTTTTCAAATCCTGTCAGCTCAATAGCATATTTACTGATTTGTTTCCACTTCTTTTCCTTCCCACTCTATCTGAACTATACAAATCACTATTGTCTCTTGACAGAGCAAAATCCACCTCCTAACTGGTCTCAGATCCACTCCCCACGTTGTGAGCCATGTGACGTATCCTTATCACATATATATTATGTAATTTTTCCCAGTTGAAACCCTTCAATATTTTCCATTGCTCTAAGAATAAATCCAAAATATTTAACGTGGTCCTCTGTGACCTGGTGCCTACCTATTTATCCAAACTTCTTTTCTCCGGGCTCTTTGGTCTAGCTGTTCCAAAGTTCTTCTTGTGCCTGTTCACCTTTGGTCATTCTCTTCCTAAATTTTAGGAGAATATTTGTTAAGTTACTGAATAAATTACAACCCTATACTTTGATTACTTTAATCACTATAACTCGAATGAACTAATTAAAATATTGATTGCTGGTACTATAGTAGGCACTGGCATTGGTATGAGGCAGCTGTTCATTTATCTTTTCATTCTTCATCCAGTAAAACAGTGAACAGAGACAACAGGTAAATGTGGCTTCCCTAACAAGCTTACAGGAATTGCAGCTTTGATTCTACTTCGTGTTTTCTATGCTAACCCTGTACTCTTCGCTGTTTAGCAGCAATCTCATCTTTGTCTTCCTTAATGCCTTCTCCAGTTGGCATTTGGGTGACCTTTGCCCTCACCCTGATCTCTTAATTTTTGTATTAACTTTTCTTGACAGTGATCGTATCCTATCAGGTTTTATTTAACATTCTGCATGCCTTTTCTCACAGCCTAGATTGTATACTTTTTTTTTTTTTTTTTTTTTTTTTTTTTTTGAGATGGAGTTTTGCTCTTGCTGCCCAGGCTGGAGTGCAGTGACATAATCATGGCTCGCTGAAACCTCAACTTCCTGAGTTCAAGCAATTCTCCTGCCTCAGCCTCCCCAGTAGCTGGGATTACAGGTGCCCACCACCACCCCCAGTTTTGTTTTTTTTTTTAATTTTTAGTAGAAACAGGGTTTCACCATGTTAACCAGGCTGGTCTCGAACTCCTGACCTCAGGTAATCCACCCACCTCAGCCTCCCAAAATGCTGGGATTACAGGCGTGAGCCACCGCACCCAGCCAACTGTATACTTTTTAAGTTTACTTTAATTCAAGTATTTCTAGCATCTGTTTTATTTCATGGCCTTTGCTAGATGCAGAAGATAAATTCATTTTGGAGGATAAAATGAACAAGAATAAATAAGATCGACATACTCCCCCTTCATTTATAGAACTTATTATCTACTTCAAGATACAAGCAGATAAAAAAGATAATTAGAGAATGATGTGGAATGGCCCTGGTGGTGGGATGTAGAGTGTCATTTAGAAGAAACAACATGCCCATAGATGGAGGATTGAGGACGGCTTCTCAGAAGAGGTGGGGCTTACGCAGGACCTGCTAAATGAAATATCTAAGTTAAAAAAGTCCAGTTTGAAGATCAAAGGCTTGATAAGATTGGGAGACAGCTTGAAATTGCTGCTGAGAAGGGAAGAGAACAGCGGCTCAGACTTTTAAAAAGATTGACAGCTATGTCACGGTGCGTGTTTATAAGGCTGCTCCCTTTCGAAATGAACACAGAGCCTTTGAGCAGGTGCTCCTAAAGTTTGGTTATTGATTGTTAGCTGATTATATTGAATTCTTTAAAAGCTGCTATTCCTCCAAGCCTCTTAGACCATGCACGTCATGTCCACATTTCTCCTAAATTATTTAGCAGTAATGGGTTGCAATTATATTAAAAACAATCTCTAAGTTACATAGCCATCTTCTGATTGCGAATTGCTTTCAATAGCATTCACTCCCTAATTTCTCAAAGTGTGAAAGATGTTTGTTATTGTATGGCTGAAATAACACAATTTGTTTTATTTTAACATTGCCAGCCACTCATGATACCCATGTAAGTCTCAAAATTCATGTGAACAATGTATTCACTTTCAGAACTGATGAAGGCATACAGTGAAGAGCATAATTACATTACTGATTAATGATTCTATAGGTTATATAAAGACACATGCCATCTATTTTTGACCTAAAACTAGTAATCCATGAAATGACATTCTTAAAAGGTTTTACTTGTACTGCTCCGAAACAATGTCACCAAATGAACATACTAATGTGGATTTCGGGCCCTTCCGACTGTTTTTGCAGCTTGAGAAATGATTTTCAATAAAGGGGAAAACATATTCAATATAATGCTTTTCTCTGTCCAATCGCTTATTATATATCTGAATATTAAGGAATCCTTTATAATATAGTCTACTAATAAAATGACTCAAATTCATGTAATATTCATGTAATTTTATTCAGAACAATATATTATGGTTTATTTTCAAACTACCAAACTGTTGGGATGGTGTCTGGGTTTAAATACAAACAGGCCCAAGTGCATAGGATATACTAAAATTCAGTTATGTAAATATTTCATCTCTTTGGATGAAAAATATAATTGTTATTCATTCATAGCATAGAAAGCCACAGAACCTCTACAGAAGCCATAACATTTAAAAAATATATAAAAACTCAAAAAACAATTTTGATTGACTTTCTGAAGCTCTTTAAAGAGAGATTTGGAGTCAAGTATGTTGCCATTATAATTAAACAAAAAAATTTCAACATTTAACTAAATTCCATTTCCCTCTTCAGGGAAGATTTTAGGATGGTAGATTCACTAAATTACACTGGTGTAGCTGTGCCTCGGACCACCCCCAACCCCTTATATGTATTTAAAATATGCATGAGTATCCTGCCAGGGGAATAGGCTAAAAGAAGAATATTTCACTTTTATAGGCAATGTGTTTGATATTTAATTTTGTTGTTAAAAATTTGAATATTTAGTCTGGTGCATCCAGAATAAATGGAGATATAGATGTTTTAAATGATATTACTTCCTCTGTTAGGGTGTTCTGTTATTTCTTTCCTTTTTCAATTTTTAATTTCTAATTATTATGGGTTCATAATAGCTGTATATATTTATGAAGTGCATGTGATATTTTGAGACAGGCATACAATGTGTTACTGTAATGTTTTTTGACAGTCTATGCTCACTCTTAACTGCCCAGTACATTATCCAAGGATTTTAAAGATCAAAGGGTAGAATCTGAGACCCCCCACACTTTTTAAAGGAAAAAATAATTCCCCACTACCTATTTTAGCATACAATGCATATGGCACACACTAACGGGCGGGGGCGGGTGGGAGGAGGCGGGGGGAGGGGGGCAGGGGAGGAGGGCGGGGAACTGTTATGGCAAAGTTAACTCACTTAGAAGTAATTCGTCCTTTAGGGCAGAAAGGGAAAGTGCATCTTCCAGCAGGAAAGCTACAGAGTGAGAAACCTTCAAGGGAAAGAAATTAAAGAAACAGGAATAAAAAGATGCCATTGGATAGGTATGAGCAGGAGAAGATGGAGACATTTTATAACAAATTAATCTTCAACCTTTGAGGTTATTCTTTGTATTGAAATTCAGTTGTTTTAAAGAGTCTTTATCACTAAAGACATGATGATTTCCTCATAGCTGAAAGGGAAAGTTCAAATACTGTACAAATCTAATAGTCCATCCTAAATCATTTTTGTGTAAAGATTGAGTTGTATTGAATGAATTTGTCATACTCAGAATGAAACCGGTGCAAATGAAATTCCTGTTAAGGGGCATTAACTTTACTATTTTCTCATTTGCTATAAAAGCCTGGTAAGTACCAAGAGTTGGGACAGACTATAGAACTTTTATGAACCGAGAAGAGAAGGGAGGAGCTTCCTGATGGCTTTAAAAGCAAATATTATTTTTTTAGTTTATGATCTAGGGAAATTAAAAATATATATATTTATCTCCCTAAGGTTTTCTAGGGTTAATTAGATACCACCGAGCTGTTGTTTTAACTCATTTGTTTGCTAGATCCTGCCATCCAATATATTTTAACGAGTTTCTTTATGTTAGACCCATTTTCCCAGTCATTAACCATCCATGTGCTAATCACACAATTATCTTGTCATTCATTTTATAAGACGTTCTGTAAAAACCGACAGCATCCTTCCAGAATGCAGGGGATAAAATTATATTCAGATCATAAACGTTGTTTTATTGAAAGCTTTATGAATAATTTGAGTAAAGAAACAAAAGCACAATAGGAAATATAATTCTATGTAAATAAAGGTAGTATTTAAGAATTATTGAAACCTATGAAAAGATATGTTGCTTTATGTCTTTTAGAGATTCTGAAAAAGTGAGTTGTGAACAGTTTTAAATGATTCATTTCAACAATTGTCCAATGCAAATTCTTTAAACTCTGATCATTAAACTATCATTTTAAAATTATTTAATGCGATCATTCGACAATATTAATGCCTAAACTTAACATAGTATTTTAAAGACATTTCTTTCTAAGATGCTGTGGCTGCCTTTGCAAAAATTTAAACAAATTGTAAAGATTGAGAGACCAGACTAGGAGTTTACTCAAACACGAGCAATAAAGCTTAACTCCCACTCACCCTCTCTAAGGAAAGACCCTTTTCTTGCTTCTCCAACCACCTTGATGAAGAGAAAGAATATCCTGCTATGTTAGGACCAGCCATTTTTTGCTTCCCCAGAAGGGATTACTCTTTGGATCAAAGAACAGAGAACCATCTACACTGCCCTGGACACTTGGATTTGGAAATGTGGCTTCTGCCACCACCAGTTCACTGAAACAGAATGCACAGAATAGACCGAAGTGGCCAGTCTGTAATACTGGGCAGCATTCACCCTTTCCTGAAATTGGAGTCTACTATGGCTTCACAGACACCATCACCTGCTGTATTTCCTTAATTTGTCTGAAATTCACTATACAGTTTCCATCCAGTTTTGTTGTCTTCTGGCCTTCTTTTCTTCAGTTTTCTGCTTGGCCTTATATCCTTATCATTCAACACTCAAGTATTCTCACAGCTTCAACTATGACTTCTAGTTTATATGCTGCCAATCTGTGTTGCCCACCAGTCTTAGCCCTGAGCAGTAGATATCTGTTCAAATGCGAGCTGGCCATCTCCATTTGTATTTCCATCTCAGATATATCGAAATCATCCCCTTTCGGGTGTCCATCTTAATGAAGAAACCATCATTCATTAAGTTGCCCCAAGCGCTTCTCTTTTCCTATTTCTACCATCATATTGTCAGTAGCATGCAATAGAAAGACAGAGCTTACTCATGTAACATGATGTTGGTTTATAGGCTTCTTTTTATTAGATTTCTTGTTCTAACAGTCACTGCCTGTGGCTTCATCCTGAAGGACTAGGAAGATCCTGTATGTTCAGGTGCTTCACACTGGGCCTGGGCAAGACAGGAAACCTCTGAAGGGCATGACTGTCTTCTGGCTGGGACATGCCCAACACTTTATTGGAAGCTATAAACTATAAACAGCTTTTCTTACATATATTACTGGCAAGAATTATGTCATATGATCCATACTTGCTAAAAAGGAATCTTGGGAATTGAATATTTTAGCTCTCAACCTCTATAACAGCAGCAGTAGAGGGGATTATGAAGGCAACCAGTCAAGTCACAATCCATACCTTATCCCAAGCCTCTAATTTATTTTGGATTATTATAAGACTCTCTTAAGGCCCTAATTTGAGTCATTCCTTTTCCAAATGTTTTGTGCATTCATACTCTCTACTGTTGCTGGGGTAATCTTTCTATGCAAACTTGATGAACCATTTAAAGTCCAAGTTCCTTAATAAGACACATGTGAGGTCCTCCAAGACCCAACTGAGGATCTGGTTCCCTGCCAAAAACACCATATGTGATTGTCAGACCTGAAAATAAATAATTACAAAGGCTCTACCTGGCAGGCCTTCCATAGAAAGCTGCCCTCCCCACACCAGACTTCTTGATGCACAGCCAGTGCATTGCAGTCTCTGAAAGGAGTTGCAGTCAAGGATTCTGGAGGGTCTGGCCCGCCATGCTCCTAGTACACCTGCACTCTCATCAAATGACTTCATTCAGGCATCTCTTTATGGGGAGCTTTTGATGGATTCCTTCCTCAGGCACCTGTGTAGAGACTTCCTTATCAGGGAGGTGAGAAAGAGGAGCCCTTTCTCTTCACTCTGACTCAGTGCTCAGTGCTTTTCCACCTAGCCCTTTCTCCTTTTCCTCCTCCCCTTGGCAGTGAGAAGCCTTCCGACATCCATGCTGATTCGCTTGACCCCCAACCTGTTCATACCATGGGGGACAGTGGAAGGGGAAGTCAGAGCTTTGTGTAGTTTAGTCTCCCGTCTATGCCATCTCAGTGAGCAAGGAAAAGCTGCACTGTTACTCTCACTATTTTTTGTTATCTTAATCAGCAACGCAGACACCTGGCAGTTCTACTCTCTCCAGCTCAGCTTAGCTCAGCTCCTGACACTGACATCCACACCTGTCACAGGCCCACCACATACATCTGCTCGCTGCAGTCACAGAGCCATTACACTGAGACCGCAGCAGAGACAGAGTTTAAGGATTGCAGGGCACCCACTGAGAATATGGGAGGAGACCCTCAAACCCATCTCCCTGATGAGTTCTGGGCTGGGATTTTTAAGGGGGTTATAGACAGCAAGGGGCTAGAAAGTTGAGGCTGTTGATTCATCGGGGGCAAGGGAGGTAAAATCATCAGGATAAGGAAACAGCTGACATAGAGGTTTCATCAGTATGCAGGACCTGAAGAAATGTCTCAAAGGGAAAACAACGTTTCATAATGTTCAAGTTGTAATCTATTGAGCAGTCAAAGGGACCTATAATCATGTAGCAGGGTCCATGTGATTCTAGGACAATGGGAACTGAACAAATATGAGGAAGCAGGTCAGAAAGCAGCTGACCTAGGATTAACACTGAACGTGTTGCAAACTTGCTTCCTTTCCATTTCTTCCCAGCCCTTCTTCTCTGATTAATCTACAAAGTTTATGGAGGTGGCTTCACGCCCACCTATTTCTTTACACCCTTCCCTCTTTGTGCTGGCCCCAAATTCTGTGCTCCAAACAGTTCCTCAACCTAACACACGTCTTTCTAAGGACACTTATTTCCTTTTCTCTCTGTGAATGCACAGATGCGAAATCATTGGATCATAGGGTCAAGGTAGGTTACCTTTGTAAGAAACTGCCAATAAGTTTTCCAAACATACTGTACCATTTTACACCCCCAAAAGCAACATATGATAGTTTCAATTGACCCACACATTATTGTCAGTCATTGGTGTGGTCAACCACTTTAATTTAATTTAATTTAATCATTTTAGTTAGAATTACCCATTCTAGTACAGTGGTACTGGATTGCCATTTAATTTGCATTTTCTTTAAAACTAATAATGTTTCAGCATATTTTCATATGTTTATTTGCTATGGACATGTCTTATTTGGGGACGAGTCTGTTTAAATAGTTTGCCCTTTCTATTGTTATTTTATTTTGAGAATTATTTTTATAATCTAGGTACAAGTTCTTTGTTGATATGTGCTGTGCAAATATTTTTTCCCAGTGTGTGGTTTGTCTTTTTGTTTTCTTAACAGTGTCTGTTGAAGTGCATTTGTTAAATCTCAGTAAAATCCAATTTATCAATTTTTTCTCTTATGGATTTTGCTTTCAGTCTTGTATCTAAGAAATCTTTACGTAAGCCAAGATCATAAAATTTTTCTTTTTTTAATTTTATAGCTTCAGTTTCAGTTTTTTAATTCAATAATCAAGAAATGTCAGATATGAAATTTCAATTCTAAAAGTTTCAAATAATTTTATTTTTATAATTTTTAAATATCTCCTGAGGTTCTCTACCTTTTTAACTGGTGCATCTTTCTTCCTAATGAATAGATTCTATGACATATTGTAGTTATTTCAAAATCTTTGTCAAAGAATTCCAACATCTGTGTCATCTAAAAGTTTGTTTCTGTTTGCTTTTTTCCTCTTGATTATTGGTCTCTTTTGCAAAGGTGCATAACTCTTAACCTTTTATTATATGCTGTGTGTATTTTTGAAGTAGAAGCCATGGATAAAGTAGAAAATATGCAATACATGCACACACACACACACACGTGCAAATGCACACACACATGCATTTCCCACCAACCAAGGGAAGATGACCTTCCTTCTGCGGGGACGTGAGGGTGATATGTGCGTGAAAGGCTGATCAATTTCATACAGTCAATCAAAAGATGTGTTATTTTGCCACCTGAAGACTTTAAGACTGTGAGATGTTGAGTCTTCTTAACTTCAAAATCCATGAGACTAGGAGACCACCAGGTTGAGACCATGAGACACTGACGCCTTGAGAGGAAAGCTCTCTTCTGCCTCCCAATTCCTCCCAGCCTTGGTTTCTCTGCAATGTTCCCATTAATATTGGATATCTTTGCATTCAGGCTTGTCCAGATTCAAACCTGAAAAAGCATCAGACCACAGGTTTATTGATTTTGGTTGATCTTTTCTAATTCAAGCAAACCTAGGTTTTATTTTAGGTCCACAACTCTTCCTGCACTGCCTCCCAAGGTCCCCAGCAGGTCCCAAATATAAAGGCTTCTGTGTCACTTTTCACCTGGGAAGGCTGTATCCTTGGGACTTAGTGGGTTTGTTTATTTGGTTGGTTTGTTGATTCTTTTTAAAAATATATCTATGTATCTCCAACTCTGATGCCTTCAAGAACATTATGACATGGCAGATTATCTAGAAGTTTCTTACATTTTAGCAGAAATTAGAAGTTCTTTCCCATCTTAACTGGAATTGGAACTCCAAAAAAAGTACTAATTACCCTCAAATGTTATCCAAGTAATTCTTCAAATTATCCATTCTGTTTTAAAAATATTCTAATATATGTATTCTTCTTGTATGTATATTGATTGCATTCTATCTCTTTAAAATTTACACTGTGAATTTCTTCTAGCACATTGAGCTAAAAGTTTTTCATGTTTCGTCTTTGTAGGAGACAGCCTTTTATGTCTGTTGATATACAATATTCTATCATCAATCTCTAATTATTTTGTAATAAAAGTTTTGATTTATTTTTCATAGTCACTTAGAAGAGAGCTTTTTGTAACTTGGTTATTAATTTTGGCTTATGTTGCATTATGTTAAACAGCTGTTTGTGGGATTATTATTACATATTGAAAATATTAAAAATTATATTATTTAATAATTGTCAAATTTGGAAGTAGAACCTAAGAACTTAAAAAAATTAAGCTCATTCTCCTTTATTGACAATAAAATTTTATTTGTTAATGTATTCTCTCTATGTATATGTGAACATATTCTCTCTATATATGTGATATATTCTCTCTATATATATGTGTTACATTAGTTTATTTCTGTAATTCTAATTATTTATACATGTATATAATAAATTATGTTTTCCTGACATATTATAGCTTTTATAATATATGTTTCTCCTTGTTGAAGTTTTTAAAAATTTATATTACACTAGTTTTAAAGTAAAATATTAAGCAAGTGGTATAACATCTGGAAAAAACTCAAACTATGTTTTTCCTCTGCTCTCACACCAAAACAAAAACAATCATTAACACAGAAGACTTCTGAGTTATGGAGATTTCTCTCCACCAGCAAGCAGGCACTCATTTCTGCAGTGGACACCAGCTGGGTGTCCTCCAATTCAGTGCCAACATCTACTTGGAGGCGGCATCAGATCCCACGCAGCTTGAGGACTCCTCAGTCTCCAGGGCTCTCCTCCCTTCCCGTCAGACAACAGGCAAGTCTAGGCCTCTAGAACTTCTGACCAACCAGTTTTACAATGGGGTTCCTGCAACACCCTCTTTGGGTTTGGTTAGTTGGCTAGAGAGGCTCACAGAACTCAGGGAAGCACGTTTCCTGGTTTATTATAAAGGATATGTAGAGGATAGAAATAAACAGCCAGAAGAAGAGATGCATGGGGTGAGGTCTGGAAGAACCCTGAGCACAGGTTGTGTCCCCATGGAGTTGTGTTCAGCTCTCCAGAATCTCTTGAACCCTGTCCTTTGGCCTTTTAGGGAGACTTCTTTGGCTGTCCATGATTGAAGCATAGATGACTGAGTGGAAATGTGATTTCACAAAAACGTGTGATCTAAACCCAGCCAGGCCTGTCTGTTCAGACTCTTTCAGAGTGTCTGTCCAGTGTTCCTTCCTCCAGGGTATGGGACAGGACCCTCTCTGAAGTGAGAGTCAGATTAGAGTCCTGCCAAGAGGGCAGGTGAAAGGAGGATTGGAGAAGATCAGAGAGAGTGAGAGATTCTGTTTCCTGAAGCCTGCTCCTGAGGCCTAAAGCACCCCAACATTACAACAAAAGATGTGACTAGGGTTATGGGAGTTATGAGCCAGGAATGGTGGATGAAAAAAAAAATATATATATATATATGTTTTCTATATATATATAGTTATATATATTAGTTTTCTATATATATAGAGATTATATGTATATAGATATATCTATATGTATTTATTATATATATTTATTATATATACACATATAAAATCATACTATCACATATAACTAATACACAGGAAGAATAAAACACAAGAATTTAGAGAATGTAATATGTAAATTCTTCAATCTTTGGGAAACAGTACCTGTTATCACACATTTTGTTATATCCTCTGACAAAGTTCGGACTACAGATGAGGTGCAGACTTGCCATTGGGTGTAAATTGAATGCAAAGCATGTGATCTCTGGTTGGAATTAAGCATGAGTGGGATATAATGACCCTCAAATACTAAAATTTTTCATTCATTCTCTGTCAGTTCCACCTAGAGAGTTTTTTGGCTGGTAGAGGCATAATAAAACTAAATGGTGCTCACACATTGCTCTTACATGTATATTCTTCATTAAATGACTTTTTAATGTGAGTCTCATGGAAATTTCAATTTTATGATATATTTTATTTGACTGATCATTCTGATTTGAATTTTCCCATGTGAACTTTAGGAAAGCTTTTTGAACCCAGAGACTTTCCTCCAAAGGACACTTTAACCCATTTAAAAAATAAAGATTGCTTCTACTTCTGGGATGATAAAGTATTTATGCTTTCCCCTTTTCTTCCCACTAAGCACAACAAAAATCTTAAATGTTTTATATACGTATAAACACAGAAAGACTCTTAAGGTGGAGAGAAGAGGCGGATGAGTGAGTGAGCCCAGGACTCCAGATAAACCATGGGGGTGAAATGCTCGGGTTTTCTTTCTCCCAGATAGAAACCACAATTGGAGCTGAAAATTGCAGAAACCTGGAAATCGCAAAGGTCACAGGCAATAAATGACCAAAAAAAGGATCTGAAAAGAGCAGCCTTGCAAGACAGAATGTTTTGAGAAGAAAATGCTCCATTGTAGCCAAACATCACCTAATAAACTGCAGGCCCACCCATGCCCCCACCAGCCAGGGCTGAGTGCAGAGCCCCACCAGGCACAATGGGGAGACACAGCCCCGGACCCTGCGGTGTCAGGTGAGGCTCCGGTGAGTCGGGACACCCAGCAGCAAGTCCAACTCCCTCAAATGGCATCACCAGGGGCCACGTGGAAGCAGTAAAGAGGGGCTTGTTCCCTTCATCAGGAATTCACCAGTGGAAGCCTAGTGAGGACCAGAAGTCCCACCCCCAGCTGTACCAGGGAATCGCCTCCACGGTTGCTAATGAAGACAGATAGGAAACTTAAACTGTATACCCACAGGTGACAGTAACAGCATGGTGCTCAGCCAACCCCTGATGGAGCAGCCGGAAGAACCCAGCTAAAACAAAAAATGTCTCTATTATCCAAAATCCCAAAGCATAATAACCAAGATATCCAGATTTCAGTGTAAACAACTGTTACAACAAGAACCACAGCAGAGTCTCATAGAGAATGAAGGAAGGCAAGCGATGGACACACACACTGGAAGTCAGACACGTCAAAGCTTCAGAGATTCTAAAGTGGTCATTATAAAAATGCTTGAAGGAGTCGCTATGAACACACTACAACACATGCAAAAATGCAAATTTAAGCTCTGTCATAAATCTTTATATTAAATGACAACGGTCCTAATACAATTAAAAGACGAAGGTTGGCAGACCCCAAAAAACATGACTCAAATGTATGCTATCTGTAAGAAACTCCCTTTAAATATAAGGATGGAGGCAGGTTGAAAATAAAAGGATGGAAAAACATATATTATGCACGTACCAATTTTCAAAAAATAGTAATGGTTGTGTTAATATTCAATAAAGTGGACGTCAGAGCAAATAAAATGCTTACATGCAGACATGAGCATTATATACTAATAAATGGTCATCCACTAAGAAAACAGCAATCCTAGAAATGTATGCACCACACATATTATAAACAAAATATCTGAAGCAAAAGCTTATAAAGGTTACAGAGGATCATTTTTTTAAAAAAAAAATATCAATTATAGTTGAGCCTTCAACACTCCTCTCTCAACAACTGGTAGAAAAATTAGAAAATTAGCAAGAATATAGTAAAACTTAACAACATCATTCAGTAACCACAGGTAACTGGCATTTTAAAGCATTCCACCCAACAACAGCAGAATTCACCTTCCTTTAAAGTGTCTACAGAACATAAACCAAGATAGATAATTTCCTGGGACATAAAACTAACCTCAAAAAATTAAAACAATTGAAAGTATACATTGTGCTATTTGATCACAATGGAATAAAACTAGAAATTAATAACATAAACATAACAGGACAATTCCCAAACAGTTGGAAAGTAAACATGACTAAATAACCCATGAATCAAAGAAGTCTCATGGGGAATTACAGAAATACATTGGACTTATGAAAATGAAAATTCAGCCTAGCAACATTTGTGGAGCACAGCTAGAGGAATGTGAGATGAAAATTTATAGCACTAAGAGCATATATTAGAAAGGAGGAAAGGCTTAAATCAATAATCTATGTTATCTCCTCAAGGAAAAGTAACTCCAAACAAGCAGAAGGAATGAAATAATAAAGATAAGAGCAAAATCAATGAAATGGAAAACAGAAAAATAGAGAAAAAATCAGTAATCAGTAACAAGCTGGTACTCTGAAAAGATCACTAAAACTTCTAGTAAAAATGACAAAAAGAGAAGATGAAAATTACCAATATCAGAAATGAAACAGGGAACATCATTACAAACTGCAGATATCAAAAGGATAATATGGGAAGATAACAAACCACTCTGCACCTGTAAATGTGATGATTTTGGTGAAGTAAACCAATGTCTCAAAAAACACACATTACCACAGTGTATCCAGAATGAAGTAGATAATTTGAATAGCCCTACAATTATGAAGGAAATCAAATTGACAATGTAAGAACCCCCTTAACAAGAAATTCCTAGGCCCATATGGTGTCACTGAAGAATTCACCAAATGTTTAAACAAGAATTAACATCAATTCTATACCATCTTTTGTAGTAAATAATGGAGGAGAAAACATTTCCCAATTTATATTATGAAGCTAGGTTTACCATGATACCAACACTCAGAAAGAAAGTACACAAAAACTACAGACTAATATCCCTCCAGAATATAAGCACTACAATCAACAATCTTTAACAAGATATTAACAAGTAAAAATTAGCAATATTGGAAAGAATTGCCCACCATGACCAAGTGGGTTTATTCCAGGGACAGGGTTGTTCAATATTTGAAAATCCAGTAATGCAATCCAGCATATTAACAAGCCAAGCTAAAGAAGAAAAGCATATGCTCTTAACGATTGACCCAGAAAAAAGCCTTTAACAAAAGTCATCACTTATTCATGTTAAAAATTCTCTGAAAAATGTTAATGGAAGGGAACTTCATCAACTTTATAAAGAGTTTCTACTGAAAAACATAAATGAAAACAACTCTACAGCTTGTTCTACTTGATGATGAAAGACTGAATGTTTTCCCCCTAAGATGAGGAACAAGCCAAAATCTCTATTCTTGCCACTGTTATTTCGCATATTACTAGAAGTTCCTGTTAATGCAATAATGCAAGAAAAAATTGATGGGACACAAAACAAAAATGAAAAAATAAAACTCTCTATTTTACACACGACTTCATTGTCTACATAGAAAATCTCAAGATATCTAAACAAAACAAAATGAAACTCTAGAACTAGTTACTGAACTCAGTTATTACAGAATACAAGATAAACATACAAAATTTATGTGTATTTTTAAGGCTAACAATGAACACAATGAACAAGAAAATTGAAAATAAAATAACATTTAAAATTGTTTAAAAAGAAATAGGCATAAATTTAATAAAGCTTATATAGGGCTGGGCACAGTGGCTCACACCTGTAATCTCAACATTTTGGGAGGCTGAGGAAGGAGGATTGCTTGAGCCCTGGAATTTGAGACCAGCCTGGGCAAGATGGAGAGATCCCACCTCTACAAAATAATTATAATAATTAGTCAGGCATGGTGGTACATACCTGTAGCCCCAGCTACTCCGATAGCTGAGACGGGAAGATCTCTTGAGCCCAGGGATTCAAAGATCCAGTGAGCTGTGATTGCACCACTACACTCCAGCCTAGATGAGAGAGAGTGAGACCCTGTCATATATATATGTAGGACTATACGACTTGTATGCTGAAAGCTTTAAAATGCTAATGAAATAATTAAAGAGCTAAATAACTGAGGACACATACCATAACCATGGATTGGAAGACGGCATAGTAAAGACGCCTGTCATCTCCAAGTTTATATACAGATTCAATCCAGTGTCTATCAAAATTCCAGCAAAATTTTTGTGGATGCAGACAAGTTTATTCTCAAACTTATGTAGAAAGACATAGGAATAAATAAACAATTTTTAAAGGAAAAATGAAGTGGGAGGAATCAATCCAGTTTCCAGGCTTATGTTGATGCACTAATCACAACTGTGTGGTAATTCATAGTGGATAGACACGTGGATAAATTGAACAGAATAGAAAACCTAGAAATAGACCCACACATACACGCATGACTTTTATAAAAATTGATGAGTTGTATCTAAAACTCACATGGAAATATAAAAAACTATAGTTTTTTTATATATAAAGATAAAATATAAAAAGTGATTTATTTTAAAGCAGAAGAAAGTTGGAGGATTTATTCCAGTTGATTTTAGAACTGACTCTAAAGCTACAGTAAACAAGACTATGTGGTATTGGTGAAAAAACAGATGACTATGTCTATGAAACTACAGAGAATGTGTAGAGAATGCTTCTCAATCTTGGCCTGTTGACATTTGGGGACAGATAATTCTTTGTTGTGGGGCTGCCCAGTGATTTGTAGGACTTTATCAGCATCTCTGACCTCTATATACAAATGCTATTTAATAGTAGTATCTTCCAGTTATGACAAGCAAAATTGTCTGCAGACATTAACAAATGTTCCCTAGGGGGCAACTGGGCAAAAAATTACCCTTAATTCAGAACTACTTGTTTAGAAGTTGACCTACACATGTATGTTAAGTAGATTTTTGACAAAGATATCAAGGCAATTCAATGGGAAGCAGAAAGTTATTTCAAAAAATGATGCTGGAAAATTAGACACAGGTGCTTTACTCACACCGTAGAAACCCCAAAAGTAACTTGAAATGGATCACAGACATTAATATAAAACCTAAAACTAAAACAGGCAAGCTACTACCAAACACCTTCTGGAAAGACTGAAGACTGTGACCACACCAAGGACTGGTGAGGACATAGGACACACATACCTCTCAAACAGTGGGTGAGTATGGTGTGACAGCTTTGGAAAAAATTTGGCAATTCTTTTTGACAAGTAAAAAATACATCTATCTCGTAGTCTACTTGGGCTTCTACAACAAAGCACCACAGACTGGGTGGCTTATAAACAGAAATTTATTTCTCACAGGTGCGGAGGCTGGAAGTTGAAGATCACGGTGCCAGCAGATTCGCGGTCCAGTGAGGACCGGCTTCCTGGTTCATGGACGGCACCTTCTGACTGTCCTCACATGGCAGAAGGGGTGAGGGAGCTCTCTGAAGTCTGTTTTAGAAGAGCACTAATCCCTGATGGCCAGTGATGATGAGCATTTTTTCATGTGTCTGTTGGCTGCATAAATATCTTCTTTTGAGAAGTGTGTTCATACCTTTCACCCACTTTTTGACGGGGTTTTTTTTTTCTTGTAAATTTGTTTGAGTTCTTTGTAGATTCTGGATATTAGCCCTTTGTCAGATGAGTAGATTCCAAAAATTTTCTCCCATTCTGTAGGTTGCCTGTTCAATCATTCTCAGCAAACTATCACAAGGACAAAAAACCAAACACCGCATGTTCTCACTCATAGGTGGGAATTGAACATTGAGAACACCTGGACACAGGAAAGGGGACCTCACACTCCAGGACCTGTTGTGGGGTGAGGGGAGGTGGGAGGGATAGCATTAGGAGATATACCTAATGTAAATGACGAGTTAATGGATGCAGCACACCAACATGGCACATGTGTACATATGTAACAAACCTGCACGTTGTGCACATGTACCCTAGAACTTAAAGTATAATTTAAAAAATACATACATATATGTATATAAAGAAGAGCACTAATCTCTTTCATGAGGACTATAGTCTCTTGGCCTAATAAGCTCACAAAGGCCCCACCTCCTGATATCATCACTTTAGAGGAGGGGATTTCAACATGTGAATTTTAGAGGGATGCACATTCATACCACAGCAACCTACTATAACTAGAAGCTCTGCCACTAGTAATTACTTACCCAAGAAAGAAAGCCATACATGTCTATACAAAGACTTATACATGAGTGTTCATTGCAGTTTTATTTGCAATTACCAAAAAAATGGAAACATTCCAAAATGCACATGATAGGCTTATGGATATACAAAATGTAGTATATTCCATTGAAAACTACTCAGCAATATAAAAAGAGCAGCCTTCTGAATCATGCAACAATATGGATGGATCTTGAAATAATTCTGTGAGTGAATAAAATCAGACAAAAACGTACTGCTCTATAATTTCATTTATACAACATTCTTGAAATTGCAAATTAATCCATACTGACGAGAAGTAAACCATTGATTGCAGAGAAAGGGTTGAATGAAGAGATGAATGCACAACGGTGTGAAGAAACTTTTGGGGAAGGTAGAAATGTTGGGTATCTTGATTATGGTGTGGTTTCACCCAGCATACATATGTGAAAATTCTTCAAATTGTGAAATTTCTACATGTGCAGCTTCGGAGGCATAAATTTTTCCTCAACACAGCTGAAAAAATTAAATTTAAATTGGCACACAGTTAACCCACTAAAGAAAATTATGGTTTTACTTTGTAACTTTTCCAGTTTTTGAACAAAGCTCAGATCATAAAACTGTCTCAAGAATAACATTATTCCTGGACATTGTTGACTTAATAGAAATCACAATTTATACATTTTGAAAAGGAGAAAAGAAGTTTTTATTTCTTAGGGTTACAGCCTGCCAGGTGGCCAACCTGCAGGTTGGCCTCTAGTCAAGACCAAAGACAGGCACCATGAAGGAGGAGGGGTTGGGGTAGGACATACATATTCAACAGGTTACAGGAGGAGTTACGAATATTCATCAAGGGGTCTTGCCACATGGGCATTGAACAAACGTGCATGTAACATATGATCCATGTTCACTTTAGGGTGGAGACAACATTCAAATGCATTGCAATCAGGCCGTACATGTCAAAAGGTCTTTTCAGGACATGAAGTCCTGACAGTGTGCAGCCTCTGGAATCATTCCACAGTCAATGGTCTTCTTATATGAAAAAAAGCTACTGAAATCAGTCTCTTGTCCAGTCAAAGCTGGAGTCATGGCTTGTGGAACAGGGGGTCACTTAATCAGGGTCCAGCAGTGGATGAGCTGCAAATTCTTTCACTAGTGCTTATCTCCAGGCCAGTGCTTATTTAGCTGCTAGAGAAAGACAAAAAAAAAAAAAAAAGCTATGGCAGTGAGAACAAGCTTATTCTTCAAGGGTAGGTAAGTGACTTAAACCTCGCCTGCCATGGGTTTAGGTTCTGTTTATAATTTGATATCGTATTGTCAGAGAGTCTGTTCTGCCATTCTTATAATCTGTATTTTAACATCTATGCTGGTCAGTTGTGTCTAAACCCCAAAAGTGAGGGAGTATAATGAGCCATACCTCACCGCCCATCCTGTCATGTCCAGGAATTCAATCTTAAGGGTTTTCTGGCATCCGCTGGGCCAAAAATGAGTCCATTCAGTTAGTGAAGACTTAGAATTTCATTTGAAGTTTTCAACATAATATAGACTTTGGGATTATTTTTGCCATTTTTTTCCCATCGTGTGGTACCATTTAGAATTCTAATATATTCAGTTGCTCCTCAGAGGATAGTGTGGCTTACCAAAATTCCTCTCCTAATTTCTAAATTAAAAATATCTGGATTAAAAAATATAATTTGGATTGTCACTAGCAGACTTGAAAAATAAACGCTAAAATAAAAATATAAGAGTAGGTATATTTTCAGTTAAAAAATTCAGAGGCAGTAGGTGCTAAATGCAAAATGCAATTAGTAATTAATTGATTGATTAAAATTTTTCTTTAATCCCAGAACAAGAACCTTATTTAAAGGCTGAGGATGGTTTACACATGTAAGATTATTAACTAAGCCAATTGGAATTACAGTGAATGAAATAAAGAGTATTTGAAAAAGTATGATAACATTTGTTAGATGTGAATTGAAACATGAAAAAGAAAATTCTTTATGCAAGTGAATTAGACAACGGAAAAATAGAAAATGGAAATTCTTTATGCAAAAATGAATTAGATAATTCTCAGAGCATTTTGCTTTTTTCTTCTTTTTTTTTTACAAAACTTGGAAAGCAGTAGGTATGCAGATTCCGTATTTCAAAACAAAAGACTTGACTGTGATGAATGCCCCTCATGTGTCATCTTCTGAAAATCCTCCTTTGGGATAAATATTTTCCTTGCATAGATTGAAGATAACTTGATAAGAATTTTGGATTCTGGTGGAAAAAAACAAATCAGATGGATGTTTAGAAAATTTTACTGGAACTCAATTATTTGTGTACAATACCCTCTCCAAATCTCATGCTACTTTTTGGGATCCAGCAGCAACACAAGCTTTAGTACTAGAAAAGTGGACTGCTGTGCTACCAACGGGAAAAAATCAAACCCATAATATGAATGACAAGGCTTTCCAAATAACTACTACCCCCCATACACCAAAATACCTCAATAATACTAATAACCTTTTAAAGTAAAGAAATGAGAATTTCTTTGAGGTGAGATTTTGAGATAGATTGTAAGTACAAATACATTGATAAGCACTTACAAATTTAATTATAAGGACATCACTTACCTACAGCAAAATGATGCCGCATTAACACATGACCTCAAAACCATCATTAACAAAAAACTTAACATAATAAATTCTCATTTCACCCATGACTTTGCAAGTCTTCAATTTAGACGAGGCTCAGCTGAGCTGTTTTAGACAGGCTCACTCACATGCCTGGCAGGTTAATGGCCCTGGGATGGGGTAATGGAGTGTCTGAGCCATGTGTCTTTCATCTTTCTCAGGTTGGCTTGGGCACATCCTCTGGCACAAGTGCAAAAGTGGGTGATGGTGATTGGCAAGCATGCTCCCTCTGCAGGCACTGCACTCACTGACTTCCCATTACTCAGGTGATCACAGGGCTGAGTGCGGAGCCACCCTGGAAGGGAACCACAAGGTTGTGCAAAGGAACAAAATGTGGGTCATCGTCTGGACTATTCTGTCCCATTGATGCAACTTTTATCTTTACCACACTGTCTTAATTACTGCTATATTTTTATATTATGTGTCATGAGTTCTACATCCTGTTTCTCCAATTTGAAGAATGTTTTTACTTGTCTAGGTTTTTTGCATTTCCACAAAAATATCAACCAGCTTGTCAATTATTATTATTTTTTTGAGCCAGGGTCTCACTCTGTCACCCAGACTGGAATGTAGTGGCACAATTATAGCTCACTGCAGCCTCAACCTCCTGGGCACAAGTGATTCTCCCACCTCAACCTCCCTAGTAGCTAGAATCTCTAGTACAATGATGAACAAAAGTTCTGAGAAAAAAATCCTTCCTTACCCCTGATCATAGGTAGAAAGCATTAGGTATTTTAACATTAAATGTGATACAAGCTGAGGTTTTTTCTTAGATGCTCTTCTTTAAGTTAGGAAAGATTCATTCTATTCTTAGTTTGTCAAGAGCTTTTATCACTAATGAAAGTTGAATTATGTTAATGCCTTTTTTCATTTATTGAGATTTTCATATGATTTTTCTGCTTTATTCTGTTAACATAGAGAATTAATATTGGTTATGTTCTAAATATTACACCAATCTTGCATTCTTGTGGCAAACCCCACTTAGTCATGATATATAGTCTCTTCTGCATATTTTTGTTTTTACTTGGTGACATTTTATTAAGAGTTTTGCATCTATATTTGTGTTGGACAGACAATAAGGTGACCGAATGGTCTCTGACTACTAGCAGTCACAGCTTTGTGAATTCTCCGTGTGGAATCCCCTCTCGTTTTCTTGAGTGTGACCTGTGATTTGCTTTTAATCAACAGAAGGCAGCAAATGTGATAGATGTCTCTGTTTATATATGTGATTACATCATGGAGGATGTGGCTTTCATTAGGCCAGGGGACTCTTTCTTTTGGAGACTGAAGAGGCAAGCTGTGGACTGGAAGCTGGTGTGTGGAGAGGACCCCATTGAAAGCAGATTACAGCAGCCTCTATCGCACTGCAACACCCTTATGAAGGTAAACGCTGCTAACAGCTGCCTGAGTTTGGAAGCAGATCCTTCCCCATTTGACCCTCAGATGAGACAACAACCGTGGCTCACAGCTTTCTTGTAATCTTGCAACTCTGAGACAGATGGCAGAATCCACAGCTCACAGCAGGAGGAGCAGGACAAAGATGTTTGGACCCTGGGAAAAGTTGTCTTTAATTCTGAGCAGTTGCACTCTAATACACAAGTCCATCAAGTGCCTCATGCTCCCTTTCCTGTTCTTCATAAGAAAAGTGAGCACATCACTTTTAGACTTTAGAAAATATTCCTGCTTTTGCTTTGTTTTGTTTTCCTGTGCTGCTTCAGTGGATCAGTGCCTAAATTGATCAATAATTTTACCAACACTTCTGCCACACTTGCCTTTGATATTTTTCTCCATTCATTGTTTTATGATTGCTACAGCTGTGCTCATTGCCTTACAGTGGTTTTTGTCTTTTTTTTAGGTGTAGCTCTCTATCAGGTTGCCAGTAAGCAGTCTGGATCCTTCTATTCTTCTGAGCCCCTCTTGCATACCTGGGTTCAAGCACATCTAAGTATCACTAAATCCTGCTACACAAAGAGCATTCCATTTTACTGAAAATAGAAGCTAAAAAGGAGCCCACAAGAGCCGATTTTTTTTCCATTTTTCAACTTGCAGGAAGTATTTTTAACAACTTCGGAGAATAGAGCAGTCATTTTCAAAATTTTCCTTTCCTTCACATGTGTTCAAATTTTCTTTTTTTCAAAAATTTTAGTCCTCATACTGTGAGTCCTTCTTAGTAGTACTGAGAGTTTAGCTCACCATGTCTCTCAAGACAGTAGAGACCCCACGGGTACTTGGACTTGCAGTGCCAGCCATGATTTTCCAAAATGTTTACAGTGGCCCTGAAGGCTTTTACTCTAGGCTTTTGCTGCACATGAAATAAAAAGATTTTTAGCATAAAATTTGAGATGCCATTACTTTAATAAATATGAATGTATTTTTTGAGTTATTTTACAGTGTCTTTTACAGCAAATATTTCATAAAAAAGAATCCATTGACACTGAGGTTTGGCAACCTTTCAAATTTTGATTTCCAACCTCGTCCTCCTAAATCACTGGAAACTGGGACCCAGGAAATGGTGGGTGCTTACGATAGGGTTTGAGTAGTGTTTAGGAACTGTAGCAACAGCAATCATAGCTATGATAATAGAAATGATCAGTGATCTGCCCTCAGGCATAATGACACTGATAATTGACTCCCCAGTCAACACTGAGGAAGGGTGTTGATTTCTGTATTTTATAACACATCCTTTTGAAGGTCACAGTATTAAACTTTTACAATCTGTTTTTGTAATCTTAATGTTAAATATTTCATGCTTCCTAATAATGCTACCTTTTTAATTTGTTTTGATGGGAATACTGATTCTGCCACACCAAAAAATGTAGACATAGACATAGAAAGTTGATGCATAAAGCCTAATTCTAAATTAGATAATGCATAAAGTCTAATTCCAAAACCATGGCTAAAGGAATATAGATTAGACTTCAAAGCTTCATCATTTTCAATTTTTCCTAGTATCAACCCTTTACAGAGACTAATGATACTTATAAAACATTAACCTTGCTGGTGCAAAATGTACAAGTCTTACTAAAATAAATCCTTTCCTTACCATTTATTGGGATTAATTTTACCCTTCCTTCTTCCCTAATTAATTTTATAGGCTGTTTCCCTTGTTAATTCTAGTGATGGGAGTCCTTTGTTCAACATAACATAATCAATACAGTGAGAATTAGTGTGCAACTGATCAATGTCAACTAGAAACATGCTAGATGTAATACTTCCGTATATTTTGGTGCAAAAGATTTCCACAGACTGGCACTTTTTCTAATTTTTTTTAATAATACAGGTGCTTGGAAAACTTAATAGCAATGGAACATATGTGGTATCACTAATCAGGGAGTTAAAAGAAAGAGTCCCACAGATGTCATCATGTACTGCTTGTAGAGATGCCATTAGGGATGCTGTTCATTATGACAGTTTGTCCTCCCATGAACATGCCCTAGGAAAAATACATTCAGTTCTAAGACCACTAAATGATGCACTTATCCTGAAAAATTGCCTTGTTTTTAACCTTATGAACATTATTAATTAGGTGGCTTATCCTCTAATATAACTGAAATTTCCACTGCATTGTCTGCCCTGAAACTGGGAGACAAATCTATGATCCAACTAAAATAGTAGTTCTCTAGCTTTGGCTATAGATTAGAAACACTTTTGAAATTCTTAAAAATCTAACATGGTGAGGCCACCACTTCAGGGGGCCAATCAGTGGGATGGGACCCTAGCGTCTGTATTCTTAAGATCCTTAAATCGTTTTATTCTCTGACTATGACTATGGTTGAGGAGCATGGACATCAACTAAGTTATCCATGATCAGGAATGTTTTTTAGTTGCATACGTATGCCTCTATATATGCCTCTACACGTCTTCACTTTCATTTTACCACTAACTTTAATGTATCATCTTGTTGTAGCTTATACATTATTACAAGCTGTCTTGCATAATTTTCATAATCCAATAAACAATTAAGTATGATTGATTTGAACAGAGAAAAGTATGTTCAAGAAGTTCAAAGTATGTTAGGAATACTGAGTACAAATTCTCTATGCTACCTTATCTGTCAACAAATTAATTTAGAAGATAAATGACTGTATGTTTATTTAAATTTGTGTGTTATTTTTTCATTCTAGGTAATATATATTAAAATCTAAAATATAAATAATAAATGTTAGAGGGTGCTTCCTATATAAAGATTATATTTATAGAATGTAGCAAAATGGAATTGATGAAGACAAAAACAAGTTGCACTTAGCAATTGGTATAAATAAAGCAATAGAGCTCATAAAAAATAGTAACCTCAATTACTTATACTTTCCCTATAATAATTTTGATACTGTAGAAAGCCACAAATGTATGTGCTTCATCCCAAATAGTAACTGTAAAATCAATAATGTTGCAACTCAATAGAATATAAAATTCATGAAAGCAGAATATTAGCTCCCAAACTTAGAAGAGTGCTTGGCATATAGGTGTTAAATAAATATTTGTTAAACATATGAATATCTAAGATCCATACTTGAACAAATGCAGGAAATTGCAATGCACAATAAGCAATTCTTATTTTTTACTCACATACACATGTGCATGTAAATATTTATGCTTATATAAATACCTTCATGTACATAAAGACATAGAAACACAGAATAAAAAAAAACAGTCAAATGAGAAAGAAATACAATATATTTAAATGTGGTTGGTTATACATCAGGGAGAAAAAGATGATAATGTGTTTTCATCTTATCATAGGTCTCAAAGTTACTATTTATTTTGTTTTCAAAGAATAGAAAAAAATATTATATGGCAGAGTGTGAATTATACTGTATAACTTAAAATTTTACCATAAACAATATACTGGTAAAGGTAAAATAGGTGAAGAATTGTATCCATCTATTGTTGATGTTTTTAAAACAATATTTTCATGAGAGAAACTAGAGAAATATTGAGATTCTATTTCAGGCTAAAAGGCTGTTTAATATTCAACAGCCACTTTATGAAGCGGCCTTCCATCAGGAAAGCAGAAAACATTTGGAGTTGGTTACATTTCACCCCTAATGGACCTGGATGCCACACATTCTTGATTTAGCCCTTGGCAGAGTTCCGGAAGAATGATTTAGGCCAGTTTCACTTCAAATGAAATTCTGCCCCTGCGTAACCCAACTGTTCAGTGAAGTTTAAAGAACAGGCTTCCAAAAGAAAAAAAAAAAAAAGGAAAAAACACATAAATGAGACCTTGCGAGTTCTTTTATTTGTATAACTTTTTAATGGAAGGGCTCCTCTTATGAAGAAGTTTGGCATTTAACCTGATACCCTTGTTGCATACAATGGAGATGCACAGAACATGAAACCTGAAATCAGGCAAATCTTACTTGGGTTCATTATCATTCCGACCACATTTTGTCTGTCACCTAAATTCATGCATGCCCTCAAAGAATCCAAAATTTGTTGGAAAGCTTGTAATACATAGTAAAGGTGCATTTCTGGGGGGAAAAAAATGCTAAGTGTGCTTTCTGTCCTAATCTGGGAACTAAGCAAAATCCCTCTTATTCCTAGTCAAGGTCAATGGCATTTGTGTTAATCAAATGTGGTGAAAAGAATGCTTTCTTAGGGAATGGGTTAACTGTGCTTCCAGAGACCTTCTTCTTGTTCAGGGAAGAGGCCTTCACCTCACCAAGCCTGTCCTTAAAGGGGAGAGCCACCCTGTTTTGGCTGGTGGAGGAATGACCTCCAGAACATTGCCTGGCTTTGTTGGTGTGGTGATTTAGGTCAAGTGCACAGTGAGGGAGAGTGGCCAGCAATGGAGGGTTCTGCAACCATGCCAGTGGGTCAGTGTCAGAGCTGACGGGCACTTCTGGGCCCTGCCATTGTCCACAAGAGAAGACAGGGCCCAGACATGCACTCTCCAGCTTATAACTACATAACTAGTAACTCATTCCTGGAAAATGCCCTTTTCTTCCCACAACATTTAGGCCTCTTAAGCTGTCCCAGTTGGGGGTGACAAAGAATATCTTCTATGAGGAATGCGCATCCCTGAGTTCATATCACCACTGTAGGCAAACCAGAGCCATTGTTGTTAAGTCAGGTTAGTATGAAAAAGCTAATCCAGCCAGATATGGGGAGGAAGCAAAGTATAATGAGGATTTATATTTCTGTAAATGATTTTTCTCCAATACAAACTTAGGATAACACCATTTATTCAACATGGAAGGTAAGGAACCTTGGATTGGGTCCCCTTCCCATTACATATTGTTTTTATTTTTGACTAGGTATACAAAGGCTCAGATAAAGGAACTGGATTGCACAAACTCCTAAATCAGTTGCTGACCAAATCAAGACTAAAACCCTGACTATTAAATAAATAGTTCATCGTCCCGCCATTGGAAGATGCTGCAGGGCTGGAAACAACACTAATTCCATTAACACAAAACTGACACTTTAATTTAATTAGAACTTTACCTCACCTGTTTTTTGTTTAATAACTCTAGGAATGCCCTTGGTAGACCTGGAAGAAATTATAAACACATCTACTGGAGGTGCACTCTATTTTTAACATCTTTATAGATGTGGCATTAGCAGCAAAAAGGGAACAAGGATGAAGAGTTCTTGAAACACATCTCAAATAGCTCTCATAAGCTGACATAACTCACCCAATGAAGGTTATGAAAACGATCTTTCCAGGAAATAGTATTTGTCTAATAATCAAAATTTAAGAGGTCAATAGTTGAAGACAGAATTTGAGATGCCAAGATTTGCAATACATTTAAATAATCATTGGAAAATACATGAAAGTTTTGAAACGATGACCAATCCTAGTTCATTAGGCAGCATTTATAGATGCTTCATAAACAGACGAAAGGTGGTCAACAGCACACACTGAAACATTTCTAAACCAAATAGCTCAATCAGAATAAGGTACTACAGTCAGTAATCTAGCATGGTTTGCAACATGCTGTGAAAATGGCATAATTTGCGTATCACATTTTAAAAATCAAGAACGGAACAGTGTTTCTCAACCACCTTAAATAACTCTGCACAGAAGCAGTGATGAAAATAATATTCTTTTGTTACAACTAGAAGGAAATTGCTTTTGAACTCTGTCATAGGCAAAGTATGTTAGTATTTGAAAGCTATCTTTTCAGTAGCATCATGAACCAGGACTGCTCAGTAAAAAAGCACCTAATAGTCATCATTGACACTGTCCAGAAATAAAGAGAGGCTGTGGCTGAGAATATATTAGGAAGGAGAAACGGGAGGAAATGTCAATAAAACAAATTGGAAAATCAAACATCTGATGGACTATTTATGGATATGCAGTTTACCTTTAAATTGTTTTATTAAAAATAGGGATTGAAGAACTAGCTCAATAAAACATAAAAGGATGGAATTATTTTGCTAGAAGTGCACAGTTTTCCTTCATTGGGTCCCTTGTAGCCCAGTGCTAAGTCTACCAATAGGTCCCCCATGGAGCTGAATTAGCAGTCAAAGCTGCCTCATTTCTCTATTTTCTGGAGCTCTGAATTAAGACATAATGTCAGGAAGACCAATGGCCTAATGATCAAATGCAAGCTATGAACATCAGCAGAGGCCTCGAGTCCCAGAACCCCCTAAGGCATCCTGATGTCACAGCTATTCATAGACCAGCGTTTCATTCTCAATAGACCACTGGCTAAGTTGTTCAGTTACCCAGCCTTAGACTAGGGCTCTGCTCTAGACTCCAGGACACCAAAATATCTGACTTAGTCCTAAATATTTCCTTTCCTCAAAGGATTGCATTATCCTCCCACCATCCTGGGACCACTTGTAACCTATAATGAATAAACTGCTTTCTCATAAACGCATATTAACTTTGATCAACCGCCACTTGGAATCTTTTCAGATTATATTTTATTTGAATAACATTATGGTAACTAACTCTATGTGCCTCCCTAGTGAGGTAACTTTTTCTCAAATTACAGTGTGTATCAGAATAAGGTGGCATGGGAGTGAGGAGCTTTTAAAAATGCAGACTTCAGGGAATTGTTGTAACATATTCTGATCAGCAGATCAGATACATGGCCCTCAAACCTACAGTTTTAACGAATGGTCCAAATGTTTCTAATGCATGTACCACCGTGATTAAATACCACACGGAATAATTATGTTTTCTTTATGATGAGTTCCTTTGTCCTATCTGAGAGTTTGTTTTGATACCAGATGTGAGTATGCCTCAAGGATGTGGAAAATACAGGTTGAGGCAGTGGCTTTTATTTTTACTGTGTTTTGTTTTGGGTTTTTTTTTTTATTCTTGGTAACAATTTTCTGATAACAGCAGGTAATATTTTAGTTCATTTTCTTTGGTAGTCAAAAATAAGAAGTGATGGTTAAACATGAATTCTGGAGCTAGGCTACTTCAATTTGAATCAAAGTTGCCCAAAAACTGGTTTTAGTACCTCCAAAAAGTTAAGTTACTTTCTCATTTGAAAGTAATTTTATCATTTGAAAAATCAATCTAATAATACATGCTTCACAGAATTATAGAGAATGAAATGAAACTAATCATAGTTAGTGCTGGCATCACATGAAAGGCTAGGTCTCCCCCCATTCTTAATAATGCTACAGAGTCCTCTGTTTTACAGGGCAGCCTGCCGCTCACCACACCTCACAAGGATCTACTCTGACCTTTCTCCCTGGCCACCGGATCAAAAACTAGAAGTACTGGGCCAACCAAAGGGAGAAAAATGATCATTTCCAGGATGAACAGCAGGAGCCAGGAAAATACTCATGAGACTAGATCCCAAGGATGCTGGATCAATAGTCAGACCACAGAATTAGATTTGGAAGAGTTTGGTGACATTGGAGACTCTCCTGTAATGTGGATCTAACACCCAGGAGGGATGAGACCCCTGTGGACCATGTCTTGCTGAGAGAACCCAGGAAACGCTGCTCAGTTAAAAGTGTTCTTGTAAGTTTGAATGACAGGGCCACTCTAAGGGAAATAGAACTACTAGAACTGCCTTAGCAAGTGAAAAGAGAAGGATGAAAATTCTCAGAGAAGCAGATATGCTAGAGACAATATGAAAACTCACTAGTCAATCATGTTCTGCTGGAGGGCCCAGAGGATACACTACTTACCACATTGATAAGGAATGCACCAGTGACAGGAAGACAACACATCTAAGGAAGTCTGTGTCAGTTCTTCTCTGTAGGCCAGGTCTGAGAGCAGCACATGCTTCTAATCCAGGTTTCCTGGTAGCAATGGAGATAATAGACAAGTTAGCGCTAAAATTCAAAACAAAACAAAAAGTAGATAAAATTATCACATATTCAAAAATAACAAAGGACATTGATCCTCCTATAATACAATAATAAAACTCAAAGACTGATGATCAGGTGGCTGAAAAATACTTCCTCAAAATAATGTTGAAAATTGTCCCCCAATTTCTAGAATTAAGCCAATTTTCAGAAATTGAACTTGTCAGAGAGACCAAATTTCCATGAGAAAATACCCAGCCATACCATACAAGTATGTACAGTAATGATTCCTCCTGTGCTTCTTCCAAGAAACATATTAAACTGTACATGGATAACGATACACTGGAGAATAGCTGGACATAATGGAAAACATTGTTCAGCGTTTATGGTTCCTTGACACCTGAGGTTCTATCACAAACTCCTCTCAGAATGGGAGGATGACGGCCAGGACAATATCATACCGGGTCCAGTGAGTCTATGGAACATTGAAGTGATTGCTTCCCTACCCTTAGGTATATACTACAATCAACATATCTGACATCTTCACAACATATTATTGTCCAATCCATGAGCATGGTATAACTATCCTTTGATATCTTTCTTTAATTTCTCTATTTAAAGCGCTGTACTTTTAAAACAGCATGGAGGCTTTCTACATCCTTCATTAAACTTAGCCCCAAATACTTTATGATTTTTATACTCTTCTAAATAGCATTTTAAAAAATCCCTTAGTATTTATATGTTTCCAGGTTTTTGCTGTTATAGTATCGAAATATAATTCTTTTTGTTTTTTGACCAGGCATCACGCCACCACACTATTTTCACTTACTACTGCTGGTAGTTGCTTTGTAAATTTCTACGTAATTTATATATAAATGATAATGACCTCCAAGAATAAAGGCAACTTTACATCTTCCTTTTCAATTGCCATGATGTTTTCTCTTTATCTTGCCTCATGGCACTGCCTGGATAATCCAACACAATGCTGAATAAAAGTGGGGAAAGCCCATACCCTTTCCTGTATTTTGATATTAGGTGAAATATTAGGCTAATGATTTTGGTAGGTGCCCTTTATCATCTGAAAATGGTCCCTTGTAATTCTAATTTGCTGAGAGTATTTGTTGCATTTTGGCAAATGATATATCTGCATCTAATAAGATTATCACATGAATCTTCTCTTTTGTTATGTCAAGATGGTGGATTTCATTGCTTTATGAACAAACACCTTTACATTCCTGAGATAAAGGCCATTTGGCCATGACACATTTTTATTTTTACAAATTGCTGGATTTCATGTTCCAATTTAACGTTTTGCTACTTATCTGTTTAAACTCTATCGGTCTCAGTTTTGACCTCTGTAAAATGCATTAATTGGGCTTTAACAATGGTATTTTTGTAAAACAAAAATTTACTTTACAATTATTTGAAATATAATTTTTCTATGGTCTTTTCCAGTTTTAAATTAATTAGTTTGAACTATATAATATTGATATTCAATCTCTATTGAACAAGAAAAAGAGGCCGGGCGCGGTGGCTCACGCCTGTAATCCCAGCACTTTGGGAGGCCGAGGCGGGCGGATCACGAGGTCAGGAGATCGAGACCATCCCGGCTAAAATGGTGAAACCCCGTCTCTACTAAAAATACAAAAAATTAGCCGGGCGTAGTGGCGGGCGCCTGTAGTCCCAGCTACTTGGGAGGCTGAGGCAGGAGAATGGCGTGAACCCGGGAGGCGGAGCTTGCAGTGAGCCGAGATCCCGCCACTGCACTCCAGCCTGGGCGACAGAGCGAGACTCCGTCTCAAAAAAAAAAAAAAAAAAAAAAAAAAAAAAGAAAAAGAATAATTTCATACAGTTCAGCTTAATAGATTAATTCTAAGATTTTATTGCAGAAAATCTCTTTCTACCTTGAAAACAGGAGGTAATTTTATGAACTTGATTTTTAATCTTAGCTGGAGTAAAATTGTGGTAGAACATACACTAGCTTTGTAATCTTGTGCATGTTACTGTATAACGATCAGTTTATTTGTTCATAAAATAGGGATAGATAGAATATCTACTTTGTGGGATAGTTGTCAGGAAGTGAACTCCCTGGCACATGCCTTACACATAGTAAGCACTCAGGAAATCCTAACTATCTTTTATATTATCATTATGATTATGAAGTGCTCTTGTCCTTTAGAATATCCTGGACAAGATGGTTAATGGGCTGTACATCTATTATTCAGGTATATTTCAAAAATAAGGAATATTGTGCTGAAATAGAAAAATCTAATTACATTTTTATCCCAGTTACTTGCAAATGGACTCTACCAACTATTTCCTGACCTTTTTATATACAATTTGTCCCTGAGTTAATGCTCACAATGTGTGCAAAGATTAATATAAAACAAATCTAAAAGGCATATAACAAACTGTGATGATACATTTTAATATTTAAGTCCCATATAAGTCAATGAGAAGTATGCCAACATTACAATAGAAAAATTTTTAAATTATAAGCAAGTAATACATGTAAGAAAAAGCAAAGGACAAGTAAACACATAAAAATATTTTATTATTATAGCAGTAATAGATGTCAGAAGAGCAGTAAAATATAGTTTTTACCACCCAATGTATGTGATTAAAACATCTCATACCCCATGTTAGTACAAATGCAGAAAAATGCTAATCTATATACTGATAGCAAAGCTGCAAATCAATGCAAACTTTATAGATGCCAGTTGTGAATACATATTGAAGCAATAAATGTTCAAACCTTTTGAATGAAAAAGGCTACTTTTAAAAATACACCCAGCCGGGTGCAGTGGCTCACGCCTGTAATCCCAGCACTTTGGGAGGCAGAAGTGGGCAGATCACAAGGTCAGGAGTTTGAGACCAGCCTGGCCAACGTGGTGAAACCCCGTCTCTACTAAAAATACAAACATTAGCTGGGCATGGTGGCATGCACTGTAGTCCCGGGTACTTGGAAGGCTGGGACAGGAGAATCGCTTGAACCCAGGAGGCAGAGGTTGCAGTGAGCCGAGATTGTGCCGCTGCACTCCAGCCTGGGTGACAGAGTGAGACTCCATCTCAAAAACAAACAAACAAACAAACAAACAAAAACACCCTAAGGCAATGATAACAAATAAATGAAATGTTTTATATCAAAGGAAGTTTATCCCTATATCTTACGAGTAAAAAATAAACAACCTAATTGTCTAATAGTAGAAAACTGGTCAAACAAATCGTGATAAAGTCAGAAAAGTCAGAATTTAGACTATATAATATGTAGCAGCAGGGACAAATGTTCAAGAAACAATAATATAATGTAGTATAGAATTATATTTTTAAAGTGTGTATATAGGTGTTTATTTTATTAATGGGATTTCTGGTGGAGGAATTACAGGATATTTTCCTCTTCCCCATACTTTTTAACACTTCATAATAAGCATGTATTTTTTAATAACTGGAGAGCTCATGCATGCATATTTATTTTGATAAGTGAGTTACGGTGGTAAGAATTCTGCAGGCTTTAGGATTCTCTCTCAGGTGTAACACCTATTTTAATAAAATCATGATGTATTTTTCCATAGCATTTTTCTTGTATTAGTGAGTTACGGTGGTAAGAATTCTGCAGGCTTTAGGATTCTGTCTCAGGTGTAACACCTATTTTAATAAAATCATGATGTGTTTTTCCATAGCATTTTTCTTGTATTAAAGACTCATTAGCAAAGATGCTTAAGGTGATGAAAAGGTATAGCTATCAAGTAGCAGGGGAAAAGTAGATGGTACCCCTCTAATGCAGTGGAATATATAAAAATGGAAAGTGTGACCCTAGCTGGAGGGAGTGGTTATTAACTGGGCCATATCATTAATAAGACCAACAGAGTTTGTGCTGGAGAGCCATAGAGTTGGATTACATTAGCATAAATCACCTTCTATTACAAAACTGGATAGGAATTATTTCCATAAAGTCAGTTTAACCTAGTGTCACAAGAGGTCCTTTAGTGCTTACAAAATTAATCTCCTGGCATTGAGAATCTGTTAAGGACAAAGATCCATTTCCCTAGTATAGTCACATTTTGTGTTTTTCTGCTTTGTTATTAACTCCATTTCATGGTCTATCGCTAATAACATAGACCAAGAAGTTGATAATAATCAACACATACCTTTGGACTATTTTATTATTCTTCTGAGATACATTTTGAATACTCATAATATGTATTTAGTTGCATAGCCTAAAATATTCAGATTTTCCAGAAAATTATGTACTTTCACACCTGTAATCCCAATGATTCAGGAGGCTGAGGTGGGAGGATCCCTTGAAGCCAGAAATTGGAGACCAGCCTGACCCTAAGACCTCTTTACCGGAAAAAGAAAAAAGTAAGTAAAACTTAGCTGGGCATGATGGCACACACTTATAGTCCCAGCTACTCAAGAGGCTAAGGTGGAAGGATCTCTTGGGCCCAGGAGGTCGAGGCTGCAGTGAGCTATAATCAGGCCACTGCACTCCAGCCTGGTGACAGAGTGAGACCCTGTCTCAAATAAATAAATAATTAATAAAGTGAAAGAAAGCCAGTGGCATCGTGGGATACCATTTGCAATGGAGATAGAGTGATGCCCACAGAGCACCACAAATCAGACACAGAAGCTTGAACTAACTCCTTCTAGACGATGGTTCAGACAATAGGCGGATGGGGAAGAAAGCAACCTGCATCATTTGTGATGAATTTGTTTGCTTGAGTGTGGCGGGATGAGGGAGGTGGGGGAAATGAGGAAGGCCAATGGACCAGTATACACATCTGAGTTTCAGCCCTTACAATCACAAGTGATGCAAGCCCCCTCGTGGAGTCATGTATACCACAGATCATATTGTAACACCTTGGAATAAGAGAGCTTTTATTAAAAAAAAAATCATAACTCTACCTAAGTAGAAAAATTCAAAGTTCCATTTAATAATAAGGCATGAAATATGATAATTGCATAGAGAAATTTATGACACACTTTTATTATTATGCCTTTGCAGCCTACCAGGACTCTGATTCATCAGGCAATTGCAATAGCATGAAAGAAAGTTACCATTGTTTCCAGTTGCAGAGAATGGTATTTTACCTAACAATTAAATAGCAGAGTCAACTGTCATAACAAAAAGCAATAGCTATTATTAGTTCTTCAAATTTCTTTGTGTATTTTCCATCATGAACAAATAGCTGAGATGAGTATAATTTTAACACAAAGCTATTCACAGGTAGGTAAAGATCACATATTTACAATTGCTGTGGCTTAACACTGGCTTACATATTATAAATGCTAATTTTGTTGTTTGGCTAGAAGAGTCCTGTTTTAGTCAAGTTGTTTCTGTTTTGACCAAGGGGCATTTAATCTAAATGCATAGCTATATAATAGTAATTTATAAATATTGTATATTTTAGGGTGAGGTGGATTTTATTCAAGCAGAATGTCATACCTCTCAAACCACATGGAATGATTTTTTAATTTTTGTGAGCAAAATGCTACACTCAATCCAGTACACTACTTTTTACTCTACTGAATAATCTGATAATATCCTTGGTAATCCAGGGCACCTTTTTTATTTTATTTTATTTTTTTGAGACAGAGTCTCTTTCTGTTGCCCAGGCTGGAGTGCAGTGATGCAATCGCAGCTCACTTCAACCTCCGCCTCCTGGGTTCAAGCAATTCTCCTGCCTCAGCCTCACAACTAATTTTTATATTTAGTAGAGAAGAGGTTTCACCATGTTGCCCAGGCTGGTCAGGCCACCTAGTTTACAGAGCATTCTTTCAATCCTTGATAGTTTTAGCCGTTTCTTTCTGAAATATCAATAATACAAAACTAGATGATAGCCCAAACACTGTTTCTTTAAAACAGTCAGCATACAACGCCTATTTAGGGAATTAAATTTTCTTACACCCCTCTACATGTGTTATCTAAGAAAGAAAGAGAGGCATGGATAGGAAGTATAAATTTGGAAGTCCTCAGTACATGAAAGTGTCTACAATCCTAAGACTAGATGTGAATTCCAAGGGAGTGAGTGCAGGGAGAGGCAGAGCCAGGGCTCTTCAATGCTGGGGAAACAGCTCCCTGCACATCCCTCCTCACCCTGCTCCTGCATCTGCTCCTCACCATGTTGCTGTTACACTTCCTGCTCCCTCTGCCCTGGTGCTATTCTTCTGGGTATTCCCATTGTTACCAACCACCTCCTTCATGTCTGCTCAGAGGCCAGCTTTGCAATGAGGCTTGTCTGCTTGCTCACCTCACACTTCAACAATCCCTTCCCTACATCCCAATCCTTCTCACTGCTCTGTTTCTTATTTGTCTATGGCACATGGGACTTCCTGACACACTATGTAATTTATTTTCACATCACATCATTGTCTGTCCCCAGTTACTAGAAGGTGAGCACCCCAAGTGTCTCTTGTCTTCAGCTAGACCTGTGCCTGGGACACAGCGAGTGTTCAATACATACTTGCTGAATAAATAGATAATGAAAAGTGAATGAACTTGGCCAGTGAGCGTCAAAAGGTCAATTTCCACCCTATTTTATTCTTGACACACAGAGTCAAACAGTGAAGATTTTCAAGCAATAGAAAACGCTATGAACTTTGTTTACTCTGTCATCATTATCCACCCAAGCCAGAGATGCAGCAGGGTCTGTTGACTCTATCATTAACTGAGTCACACATCTCCATTTTTATGGCAAAAGAGGTCATCTGAGCCAGACCAGGCTACAGAATCTGGTGTGGGTTTTAAGATTGGTGAAAATATATATAAAATATATGTATATCCAGAATCTACAATGAACTCAAACAAATTTACAAGAAAAAAACAAACAACCCCATCAAAAAGTGGGCAAAGGATATGAACAGACACTTCTCAAAAGAAGACATTTATGCAGCCAAAAGACACATGAAAAAATGCTCATCGTCACTGGCCATCAGAGAAATGCAAATCAAAACCACAATGAGATACCATCTCACACCAGTTAGAATGGCAATCATTAAAGAGTCAGGAAGCAACAGGTGCTGGAGAGGATGTGGAGAAATAGGAACACTTTTACACTGTTGGTGGGACTGTAAACTAGTTCAACCATTGTGGAAGTCAGTGTGGCGATTCCTCAGGGATCTAGAACTAGAAATATCATTTGACCCAGCCATCCCATTACTGGGTATATACCCAAAGGACTATAAATCATGCTGCTATAAAGACACATGCACACGTATGTTTATTGCGGCACTATTCACAATAGCAAAGACTTGGAACCAACCCAAATGTCCAACAATGATAGACTGGATTAAGAAAATGTGGCACATATACACCATGGAATACTATGCAGCCATAAAAAATGATGAGTTCATGTCCTTTGTAGGGACATGGATGAAATTGGAAATCCTCATTCTCAGTAAACTATCGCAAGGACAACAAACTAAACACCGCATGTTCTCACTCATACATGGGAGTTGAACAATGAGAATACATGGACACAGGAAGGGGAACATCACACTCTGGGGACTGTTGTGGGGTGGGGGGGAGGGGGGAGGGATAACATTAGAAGATATACCTAATGCTAAATGACGAGTTAATGGGTGCAGCACACCAGCATGGCACATGTATACATATGTAACTAACCTGCACATTGTGCTCATGTACCCTAAAACTTAAAGTATAATAATAATAAAATTAAAATTAAAATTAAAAAAAATATATTGGTGAAAATGAAGAGGCAAATTATGTATCAATTTTGCACCGAGTTATCAGAAAACCAGGAGAGGGACATAGAACACACACATTCTAAGAATCTGAGGTAGTAAATGGATTCCACTCTTCAGGACTTTTCTAGTTCTTCATGGATGCACACCCAAAACCCTGGGGGTCAGCACAGCCCCAACGGATGAGAAATCTGCATGATCTGGGAGTGCAGCTCATGGTCTTATGACCCTTTCAACAATATGATCCCTGCAGGGGCCACCTCAGAACTGAAAGTTCTGCTTACTCTAATTATGAATATTCCTTTTCAAGCCGTGTTGTACTCTTTACTATGGAAGGACTTTAATGGGCTTGGCCTTGATCTAACCCCACCCGCCTCATATGTGAACAATGGTCCACAGGATTTCACAGGATGGAGTGCCTGCCAGGAAGAAGCCACCGTGAGCAGGTCCAGGGCACCAGTGTGGTCCATGACTGAGCCTAAGAGAGGCACCTTCCCTGGAGATGTGGAGAACTTCCAAGGAAACTCACAAAATTCCTCCACAGCTGCATAAGAAATCGTTTGTCCACCTTCTCCTCTAGGACTAAAAGATTTTTTTATCTCCCGCTGAATAGAGGAAATTAAATTTCATTCTTTATTAACACACAGCAATGTTCTGCTCAGAGAAGGCATTAAATCTTTGCTGATTGAACAGTTGAAATAAAGACATAAAGAAATTTGTCAAGGCCATTTCACGACTTCACCAGCAACCACTTATTCTCAATTAATTCTAGACTGTATTATAATTTCCTGTGGACATAACAACTGCCACTTAAAACCTTCCCTTTATTGCATGAACACACGCCAAAGAAAAATTTTAGCACAGAAGTCTACTCAAAATAGAACTTGAATTTAGGATATTGGCTGCATATGACTTGGCAGAACTGATATAAAGAATTAAGGAAAGTCATGATTGTTTTTCTGTAAGAACTACCAAGATCCTTTTCTTTCCATTTTCTAGAGCCACTGTATTAGTGGATATTTGCAGCTTATAAGCACTAGATTTATAAGCAAGAACACTGAGTATTAAATATGAATTTCTATTGTTTATTCCTAGATCGATACCCATAAAGCATTGAAATTGTTTTCACATTTTGCTGCCCTTTAATTGACAATGTTGTCCACAGCTCTGTGAAAACATGGCACTTTTTGACATTTGTAGAAATAGCAATTACCCATAGTAAGAAACGAAAAGGCCTCAGTCAGCCTGTCTCACTTAAACTATGTCCAATGACATGATCAAAATTGCTTTAGAAACACTGTTGCTCAAGTGACTATCAAAGTAATAAGCCTGAGGAAGAAAATCCATTTTTGCTGAACAAAGTAGGAGCTAAACACTATGCCAAAATCATTGCAACTAAGTAGAGCATATAGTTATCTTAAAACTCAAACGATAAAAGCAAAAACAAAGGCTTTCAGTAGCTGACTTTATCGTTCCACATTGCCCCTTACTGAGATATAATGCAATTACAAGAATATGGTCACTTAGAAACATCCAATATATCATTAATTCCACCAAACCTGGAATGATTCTTCCTAGCAGAGCTTGCTTTCAATTAATTAAGGTACAAGCTTAGAACTAAGAGCTTATTACCTGTTTGAAATCTGCATGTCCGAATTCTACAGTTCAAGCTCTGTCACCAATTTTCAAGGCAATTCTGGCCATTTCAGTTACCTTTTCTCTAATTCATTTTTGTAACCGGAAAAAAGCGTCAAAATATTTCTAATCCATTTCCATAATCTTAAAAAAAATTAAAATATACCTCAATCTAATAGGGTTTTTTTCTAAAAATCTATCTCTCGATGTATTAGCACAGATAGTCCAACTGTAATAAAAGTGAAATAAAGAAAAAAATTACCTCTGAATAAACATTACCATTTTTAAGTCTCTTGCAGATCTTGCCCTTTATAAAACAGGAATTACATATTTTAAGGTGTCAGAAAGATTTTTGTGTCTTGAAAATGTGGTATCATTTTGGAAAGACAAGTCCTGATAGTTTTACGTAGGTAAAAATTAGCTACTCTATTTGTTAGAGAAAATGAAATAGCATACACTCAAAAGGTGAATATTTAAAATCACTTGAAAAGTTTACAGTGATATTATAGTAATACTGAATAGATAATTTTTAAAGAAAAAATAAAATATAACGCTTTGTTTACTTGCATATCTTATTTGCATACCTCTGTTTATTTACATATTTGCATTATCTTATGTGGAGTGAATGTGTTTTCAATTTTCAGATTTTTCTTAATGGAGATAGGCATCAGTCAAAATATCTATATAAGCTTTATGTAGTTCTATGTGTATGCATAAAACATAAATTAATTATTTATTAGAAATGATGACACCAGGGGAGATAGTGCCAGTCAAAGGGCTTATGACATATACATATATATATATATAGAATAGAAAAAGATGCTCCGTTAACAGTTTCTTTTTTCATGTTCTAAGTTATTTTTATTTTTTTAATCAAATATTTAGAGATGGCGACATGTCAGAAGGACAGAGGAGCCATCTTGAAAGGGTTTCCATTAGCTAAATCATGAACTTAAGCATTAGAATAAATACTGATGTTAACAGATTACATTCCGTTGAATAAAGTAGACAACCATGAGTCTACATTTGATTAAATAAACTAGTGAGGAGAAGAAAAAGTTCTTCCTTACCAATTAATAAAAACATAAAAGGAATTCTCAGATTAGAAAATTACTATTTGGCACAGAATTGTAATTAATCAAGACAAGTAACCTCATTGGATGCTAAAATAGTGAATGAAGGTTGCATGAATGATGAGAATCTGTATGGTCCAAAAGAAGCTTGTATTAGTCCATTTTCACACTGCTGATAAAGACATGCCTGAGAGTGGGTAATTTATAATGAAAAAGAGGGGTTTAATGGAATCACAGTTCCACGTGGCTGGGGAGGCCTCACAATTGGAAGGTGAAAGGCACATCTTACATGGCGGCTGGCAAGAGAGAACGGGAGTCAAGTGAAACGGAAAACCCCTTCTAAAACTATCAGCTCTTGTGAGACGTATTCACTACCGGAAGAACAGTATGGGGGAACCACCCTCATTACTCAATTACCTCCCACCAGGTCCCTCCCACAACACGTGGGAATTATAGGAGCTACAATTCAAAATGAGATTAGGGTGAAGACACAGCCAAAATATATCAAATCTCCCCCAAAATATCTATTGTAACATAAAAAAAAAAAGACTAACTTTACAATGGAGAAACCTGTCAAAGTTGCCATCAGTGTGGTGGAACAAATTGACATTATTTTTCTTCTGGTAGCATGCAGTGAAGGAAGCCATCACCACCTCTGTACTTTTCTTGCCAAAAAAGCATCATCTGAATCTAATAATTAAGAAACATCTAATCATTAAGAATCTAATCATTAAGACTGGCCCCAAATCGGGGGCATTCAACATAATGACTGGCCTATAATCTCTGAAAAAGTTATGCTCCTGATGCCCAGGGGAGACTAACGGACTGTCCTGGTCTGGAGGTGGTTAATGTGCCCTGACTACCAAATGCAGTCTGGGATCCTGGGCTGGGGCTTTTTGCTGTAAAGGAGAAGAATGTAGTCCGCAGTGAGCCCCACATGGCTGAAGAGGAAATGTGGATGTGGGGTGTATAGTTTTCTATAACTTTAAGATTATCTCAAAACAAAACATTATTAAAAAGAGTTTGAGCAAGGAGACTTTTTGCCCTGCCTCCTGTAAACTAAAATTAAATCCTAAGGCCCCCACTGACTGTGTGGGCCCCCTCTTGGCCAAGGAGACCCCAGATAAACATTAAAACTGAGTTCCTCCCGTCATGACGGAACGGGAGGTCAGAGGACTCATTATAACACTCTCTTTTGCTGTGTAGACAAAACAACTGACCAGCATTAATGTTAAAATAGAGATCATTATAAGACTGACAGAACAGAGTCCTTTTGGCAATAAGATACCAAACTCCAAACAGGACCTAAGGCCGTGTCAGGCAACGGTTAAGTCACACAGCCCACACTTGAATAATAAACTGTGTTCTCACTGCTACAGGGTTTTAATTTTTCTCCAGCAGCTAAATAAGCCCTGGCCTGGAGACAAGCAATAGTGAAACAATTTGCAGCCCACAGATGCTGCTTAACTGAGCCCTGTTTCATCAGCCATGACCCCAGCTTTGATTGGACAAGAGACTAATTTCAGTAACTTTCTCCAGCTAAGATCATCCACCATGGACTGATTCTGGGCGGTCTACAATCTCTGTAGAGAGAACCAGAAGGCTCAGAACCACTCATGGGCCTTCGTGTCCCGAAAAGATCTTTTGACATATAGGGCCTCATTGTAATATGTTGTCTCTACCAAAAGTGAACATGGGTTGTATGTAACATGCACATTTGCCCATTAAGCATGTGTCAGCACTCCCTTCATGAATATTCATAGCTCTTCTTCTTACCTGTTGAATATGTATGTTTAGCCAATGTGTTCAGCATAAAGCTCCTGCCCAAACCTCTCCTCCTTCGAAGTGCCTGTCTCCGGCCTTGGCTGGAGGCTGTGCTCCCCAGCCTGTGAGACAGCCACCTTGTAGGCTGTAACCCTTTACAAGAAATAAAGTCTCCTCCTCTCTTTTTCTAAATTTATACACACCCAATTTTTTTAAAATTAACTCTCCCCAGCCCTATCTGCTCTGAATTGTATGTGGCTATGGGATTTATCTATTTCTTAGACTTTTGAAAATATTCTCTTTTTATTTTCTAATGTAATTTATATAAATATATTTTCTCTCTTATGAAATCAGTTTTGACATTTGGTATTTTGCTAGAAGTTTAGCCATGTTACCCATATTTTCAGATATATTTGCATAGCATTTAAATCTTATAATTACTTTTCTGAGACTTTATCCCCTTTAACATATCCCTTTTTATCTTAACTAAGTGATTTATTGCTTGCTTTTATCCCAAAGATATTTGGAATATATATATTGGTCATCGCTTTTTCCACATTTGTGTTCATTAACTTTTGCTTTCATCTTTATTTCTTTCTTTCTTTCTTCTGCTTTCATTGAGTTTATCTTCCAATTTCCAAAGTCTTTAAGAATAAATATTTAATCCATTTATGACTTTTGTTTTATTAATAAAGAAAATAAAGCATTGATTGTCCTCTGGGAATTGAATTAATATAATTTCTAGATAGTTTAATATTTCTTCTATGAGTTCCTTTTTGACCTCTTGAGTTGTTTAAAGAGACATTTTCTTCCTTTCCTTCTCTTTTGAAAAATTAGCAGATGACGGTTTTATTTATTTCTAGTCTTGTTATTACCGTGTTTAGTTTGATTGCATTGTTATAGATAAAGTTGGTTATGCCATTTCTTTATTTTTGACAGTTTTTAAAATTTTCTTTATGGCTGTATTAGTCTATTCTTGCATTTCTATAAACACCTGAGACTGGGTAATTCATAAGAAAAGAGGTTTAATTGGCTAGTAATTCTGCAGGCTGTACAGGCAGCATGGTGGCTTCTGCTTTTGGGGAGGCCTCAGGAAGCTTTCACTCACGGCAGAAGGTGAAGTGGGAGCAGGCACATCACATGGCGAAAGCAGAAGCAAGAGACAGAAAGTGAGATGCCGTTCCTTTAAACAGCCAGATCTCCAGAGAACCACTCACTATATGGTGAAGACAGCACTAACAGCATGGTGCTAAAGCATTCGTGAGAAACCCTCCCACGTGATCCAGTCACCTGCCACCAGGCTCCTCCTCTGACACCGAGTATCACAATTCAACAGGAGATTTGGGCAGGGACACAGATCCAAACCATATCAATGGCATATATGATATAATTCTTTAGGCCTGGTGCAGTGGCTCATGCCTGTAATTCCAGCACTTTGGGAGGCCAAGGCAGGTGGATTACTTGAGTCCAGGAGGAGCTTGAGACCAGCCTAGGCCACATGGCAAAAACCTATCTCTACTAAAAATAGAAAAATTAGCCAGACATGGTGGCATGTGCTTGTAGTTCCAGCTACTCAGGAGGCTGAGGCAGGAGGATCACTTGAGCCTGGGAAGTGGAGGTTGCACTGAGCCAAGATCACATCACTGCACTCCAGACTGGGCAACAGAGGCAGACCTTGTCTCCAAAAAAAAAAAAAAATTTTGTGTGTGTGTGTGTAGATTTTTAATAGGATTTGAAAGAAGTTGCATTCTCTAAAAAATATGTTTAATATAATCAATTTAATTTAATTTAGTATTTAAGGCCACTATGTTTTCATCCGTTTATGACCACTTAAGCTGTCATGAAATTCAGCATCAATTAAATTCTCATAGCTAATACATTCACATCCATTTATTGTTAAATTATCTGTCCTTTTTAAAATAAGTATCAGTGATCTATGGAAATCTATAAATGCTAAATTTTCATTTCGTATTGTATTCTAATCATTACAAAGTGTCTGCCCGGGATCCTTTTAGTAGTATGTTGCCCAAACTTGCAGGATTCAGATGATTGGTTGGTGATCCCAGTTGCTTTGTAGCTGATATTGTCATGGCAATAGCTGTGGTTGTTGTTGGTATATCTAACATGCCTGTTTGCATCTCCCCATGTTTCTAACTTTTGACTTTTCTCTTTGTTTTAGATATGTCTCTTGTACAAAACATAAACTGAATCATTTGCCAAGTGTGTTCTATATTTTGAAATCCTTATCTTTCAAACTTGCAAATGTGAGTTTTCCTTTATACATATATCAATATTTTGGATATGTTTCCTTTCATTTTTAACACTGATTTTATATTCTTTACATCATCACTTCAAGATGACTTTTTATTTGTGTTATTTTTCTTATGATGTCTTCAGAATTTCTCCTGATAATTTGCACATTATTTCTGCTTCTCTACATGCGAAAGAATTGATATTTTTTCTTCCTTCTACTCCTCTCCCTCACTTCCACTCCAAATTTATTTTATAATTTAATAATTGACAAAGTCATACACATGAAGCTACTGCCAAATGATGCAAAAACTCACAATCTTAATCACTACACAATACTTCCTCTGACATAATTCCAGTGCATATTTGATCTCTCTGTATCAATTAGACTGCTTTTGGCTGTAACATAAAGTCCTCTATCAAGGAGTTTGAGCAAAATGGAAATTTATCATCATACATAATTTAAAAATTCAGTGACAGTAACTTCAGATGTAATCAACTTCAGTGGGTCACCAACTTCATATTCTTCTCTTCTTTTCATTTTGTGTCTTTAGCATCTCCGCCAGTCCACAGAGTAACTTTCTTCATTACACTATTGGATAAACAAAGCCCTACATGAATGTAAGTTTAGAAACTGTAAGGCATATTTCAATTTCCTTATAACTTCTCTCATTAAACTTTTCTAAAAGATAATTTTTGCCATTAAAATGCATTGTAGTCATTAAAAAACATTTTAGTCATTGTTAAAGCCTTGGTTTTTTTTTATTATTTTTAGGAATAGAAATTTTTAAATATGTCATGTTAATTACAAAAGAAAACTGACAGACACGTATTTCACACTAACATATTTCCAACAAAAACATTTTATCATTGTAAGTAATTCCCTCGAGCCTAAAGATTACAAACTATATATAAACACATCTTAGTTTAGTAAATTTGACAGCAGGGAAGTCTTTAACTTTTTGTTTTGGGTGGCAGAAAAATATAACAGTTATTTGTCACTTATAAATGAAGAACAGTCACGTTTTTGAGTAAGTTATTTGTCTCAACTTGATTAGTTAGCAGATATATTTTTGGTTTTGCTCCCTAAAAATAAATGTTGCAATTTTTTAGCTAACATGAGGAAAAAAATTACACTACCACATAAAGTGTAAACAAAATTATTTTACATTCAAAGGATTTTCTTTGCAGCTTCCCTTTAATTAAAGCTGATCCCCTGCTTCTAGGAGAGCACACATTACTGATATAACACATTCCTTGATCAAAAAGAAGTTTAAATTATTTTGTACTTACTTTACTATTTAAAAGAGGAAAGCATACTTTTTTTTTTTTTTAATTTCTCACAGGCTTCATATCCAGAAGAAAGAGGGAATCTCTGTGTCTTTTTATAGGAGTAAACAATATTTTAAAGGCTTTTTGCTAGGGGACTCAGGCTAGCCTGGAGGTTGGAACTGAACGCCTTCCCCACTGCTAGCAGGGAAGAGGGGTTTCCTTTGTTCCCATTTGAGGAGAATTTACTGCCAGTGTAGCAAGGCACCGTCATGGCTAGCAACAGTTGGTCTGGTCGCAGGTGAGCCGAGATAGTGATTGGTAACACCCTCCATCCTTAGGACACCCAGAGGGCCACGAACCCCACCACAGACGCCTTACCTGATTGCCCAGTGCTTTGTACAATTCTCTTAGTTTATTTTTATTTTTTAGATACTTAAGGTTTATATGATATTTTGATATATTTATCTATATATACCACAGTCAAACAAACTAACATGCCCATCATCTCATAGAGTTTTCTTTCTCTTTCTTTGCTCCTTTTCCTTCCTTCCATCCTTCCTTCCTTCCTTCTTTTCTTTTTCTTTCTTTCTTTCTTTCTCTTTCTTTCTTTCTCTCTTTCCATCCTTCTTTCTTTCTTTCTCTTTCTTTCTTTCTCTCTTTCCATCCTTCTTTCTTTCTTTCCTTCCTTCTTTCTTTCCTTCCTTTCTTTCTTTTTCTTTCTTTCTCTTTCCTTTTTCTTTCTTTCTCTCTCCCTCTTTCTTTTTTTTTTGAGTACCTAAAATCTACTCTCTTGGTAAAGTGCCTGCACACAATACAGTATTATTAACTACTCTCCTCATGTTGTACATTGCATCTCTAGACTTCTTCATAGGCTTTGGAAGCCGATAGTTTTGAAAGAACAGCATCATATTATTCAGCATTTCAGAGAGGCCCCCATCAAAAACGAAATGCTCTGTTAGCCTCTGGGCGTGCTGCCAGCTGAGGGCCCCAGCTGAGCACCCAGGCCATGGAAGAAAGCTGCCTTGCCCAAGCTCATGTCCCCTCCCGGCGCAGTCCACGCCTGATGTCGGCTTGATGTGGAGAACGTGACCCAGGCTCTGTCTGAATTCAGGACATCCCAGGAGGCATCTCCACGCATCGGAGCTCCCGTGGCCTAGGCTGGAGCCTCCTCGGAGGCCTCTGTGCCACTCCCTCCCAGGGTGGGTTATCCTGAGTGCTTCCTAATAGGGGTCTGCAGAGGCAAATCCCAGCCCAGGGAGCCCAACCTCACCCGGGACTTACCCCAGAGAGCATGACAAGGTCACCTGCTCAAAAGGTAGATTCCTAAGCAAAATCAACATTGTGTTCCTGAAGAATGTGGAAAGAAATGTGGGGTAAATCACAGTGCCTGACATTTTTCTAAAAGGTGATTGGCTTTATCCTTAACATAGATTGTTAAGTCCCACAGCCTTACAAAACAAATTTCAATCACAATCTCAACGGCATTGAGTAAGTTTATATATATATATATATATACAAGTATACATATATATACACACACACACACGTAAAATACACATGGAGTTTTGAAAACTTAGTGCAACAATTTAAAAAGGTGAAGTACCTCAATTGCTTTTTCTTATTGACTACTTGTTGAAATGCTATGTTTTTGATAGATTTGGTTAAATAAACATTACCATTATAATTAATCTCCCCTATTTCTCTTTTTTTATTTCTTCATACGGCTAGTAGAACATTTAAAATTGCGTATTTGGCTCTTTTTTACGGCTTGCCTTTTTTTTTCTAGTGAAAGATGGTGTATGATGCTTCTGTCTTTTATGCACTCAACATATTTGTTTCCTAAAATAAGAAAAAAAGAAGTAGCAAAAGGCATAACTCTTCAGAATGAGTCTGATATTAAAAAAAAAAAAAGCCATACATATTTTGTTTCTTCTACTGCTTGAAATTTCAGGTGGCAAATCCCTGGAGAATTTAATTTGTCTTCAATTAGATTTTTAATGTTCCTTTTAGTCACAATCAAAAAGACATTTTCTTAATCAGTGGTGTCTATTACAATAGTTAGGATAATGTAATTTGGCATAATTATATGAAATTAAGATTTAGTACACTCAAGGTTTTTTCCCTCCTTGAATGAAATAAATGCAAAAAGCAAAATAACCCTGAAATCTTACATTTAACAAAAAGTCCCAAACCTATTATTCTTTCCCATTATTGAATTGATGTCTGCAGTGACAGTACTAGGAAGAATAAAATAGCAATCTAGCTTTGAGGCTATAATTTTTAATTGATGGAAGCAGGTACAGGATTTATGCAATATGATATCATCTTAAGAGATGATGGAAGTATAAAACAAGGCAAATGAAACAAACAAATAAACTGTGAAGTGCAGAAAGAGAAATTTGAACTGCTTTAACTTCTAACAATCAAGCAGTTGGAATATTTGAGCTGTTACCTGATTATATTTAAGGATTTAGATGTGAATTTAAAAAGTTCCCCAAATAAATCTCCTTGCCATCTCTCAAGTCAGCAGCATTCTGAGAGCTAAGCTGGAAACACACAAAACACATAGCCTGGTTTAATAATAGCTAGACTGTGGAAGAAGAAAACTCCTTCACTCTGGCAGGCTAACAAAGTTGATTTAATTTAGCTCTCTTAATTGCTTCATATTGTGAATTTCAACATGCCATGTGTAACAGCTTTCTTTCTAGTGATTTTCTTGTAGAAGTCGTTGTTCCCATTAGGTTTTGAGGTATTTTTCTCTTCATTTCTTATTCTCAAAGGTACTGACTTTATGCTCACTTAAAATTGAATGATTAATGACTCTGTTAGCTACATGATACAATTTTAAAAGAATAAGCCCAAACCACTTAACTAAAATAAATAAGGTTTTTTGTTCATTAACATTAACATAGTATGGTCATAAACTGCCCAATTCCTAAATCACTCTTTATTTCCACTTGGCTTAAAATTATTTTTGCCTATTTAATTTATTATTAGGGAAATTAAACACACACACATTTTTTTCTTGAGCACTCATAATTTGAGATTCATTATGATCACTAAGCAAAAAGTTTACTTATTCAGTCATCATTGCAATGCAACTTAAAAGTCACAACAATCCCAATATAAAAATGTAACTTCATGTAATATCAAAAGACATGTTTTGTTTTATCTTAACAATTATAGTTAATTTCCCTGCAGAGTAGATCTCCAGGACTGTCAACAGAATCCCCAAGGACATAGTCATTGGCAGTGGTGGATGCAAAACACACATTAAGATTAATTGCAGAAGCTCTGTCTAAACAGAATGTCTTCTGATATTACTTTATAACTTCTTATATGTAATGCAACTGCCTGAACACTTGCGCTCCTTCATGTGTATAATTCTGTTGCACACTGCTTGATTCTGTGTAGGAAACAGTTTGGGAATATTGGGGTTGGGTAAAGTGGAGTCACGCATGTATTACATGCTCATGTTTCCATGTTTCATGCTGATGACGATAAGCCTGCACTGCATGCATCCAATGCATTGCAGATTCACTGGTAAATATATGACCAGTAATCAACACAAATATATTAAATTGCTAGTCATTTTGAATTTTGCTTATGCTGGAATAGGGCTCGTATCCATGAATTATCCAGTTATAACGCAGCTCAGATTCTTGCCGTATGCCTTGTATGTGTGAAACACTTGCCACTTTCAATAATTTTTCACATACAGTTTCCCATTTAACATGTTTGACCAAAAAATAAACACAATATATATATTCTTGACTTAAGACATTGCAACTAATAGAAGCACTCAAATTATGAGAAGATTTCCAATTGTCTATCTACCTAATTCATTCAACAGATAGAAATATTATGCAAGGTAATCTGGTATTTTAGAATGTATAAGAAGCTCTAGTTATTATCTGGATAGAATCAGGAGAATGTACTGATAGGTTTAAATGGATTAAAGACATCTTTCCTTCTTCCTTCAGACCTATAAAAAATCAAATTAAATGGAATATAATTGAATGATAAATATAATTTATCTAACATGTCCTTTTGGTCTAGCCTAATATGATAAAGTTCATTGGATTGTTTATGAAATTTCACCTTTTATATTGAGCTTTCCAAGTGTGCTCAGAAAAACAAAAAGGTATATTTTCCAGCCTAAGTTATTAGAAAAATTTAGGACAAATAAAATGAGGTATCATATCTACATCTCTTGCATAACACATTGACCATAGCATGGATTCATGTCTGTTTTCTCTGTTCCAAAATCACAGTGACTATTCAAACCTGAAACTCATTGCTGCTCTCAAATTATAAAAAACCTTTCAAATGGTTCTTACCAATAAATTGTAACCATATTGATCAAGCTAATGAATTTTAACGAAAAAAATTGTCTTTCTACATTGTCACATTATAGGTTCCAAAAAGATTCTAGAAATTTTAGATTCCAAAAATTCTAAATGTTTATTTTTCAATTGTTTTCCACTCTATTTGCTCTCCTACTTTTGAGTTTTTAAATTCTTGGGTGGACAGAAGTAAATTAAAATCTCATTTTTATTTATTTATAATTAAATAATCCAAATATATATTTTTAGGAAAGCTATTTGATGTTTAGAAAACCTTGTTAGCCTCTTAAACATGTTTTTCTTTGAAGAGACAAGCTGTCTTTTGCCAAGCACAAATTTCAAACACCAACGGCTTCTACGTTCTCTTTGAAACACATAACGTCATTATGATAAATTCTTCTTTGGAGAAGTGAATGCATTTACCCTTCATGTGAAGATGATGCTGCAACAGGGTATTTGGCCGTTTTTTTCAGATGGAGAAAGTATCATACATTCCTAATTATTTATCAGAACGATGTGAAATCAAGAAAAAGAAAATAGAAACAGGCGACTGTGGTATTTTTTCAAACATTCAAAGTCAAAAATGTTACCTTATTGTGCGAAATATTCAATTTGACTTCATTTTGACTTCTCTCTCTATTCGTGTTCTGTGCCTGCCAGTCTCAAATCCCAAAGCACTGAGTCAGGCTAACGTGAGAAAGTGAAACATATCCACTTTATATTCCAGTTCAATTTTGTTTTAACATGATCTGATGAAAAACTTACGAGACCAAGGTATTAATGAAACTCTAACATTAGTTATTTTTTAATCACCTAATTTTTAGTTATTTTTACTTTTTATTTATTCGTTTTTGAGGCATAGTTTATATATTATAAAACTCATTCTTTTAAGCATTCAAATCAGTGGGTTTTAATATATTCACAAAGCGGTGCAATCATCACCACTTTCTAACTCCAGAACATTTTCATAGCCCCAAAAACAAACCACATGCCCTGTGGCACTTCGTCACACCGTTTCTTCTCCTCTCAGGCCCCAGCAATCACTAATCTGTTTCCCGTCTTTATCGATTTGCCCATTCTGGATATTTCATACAGATGAAATAATACAATACACAGCTTTTTGTGTCTGGCTTTCTTCACTTAGCATAACACTTTCAAAGTTTATCCGTATTGTAGCATGTGCCATTACTTCATTTCTTTTTAAAATTGAATAATAATATTTTATTGTGATAAACATATCACATTTTGCTTCTCCATGCATCCATTGATGAAAGATTAGTGTCGTGTTCAGTTTTTGGCTTTTTGAATAATGCGCCCATGGATATTCCTGTACAAGCTTCTGAGTGGACCAGTGTTTTCAGTTCTCTTAATATCTACCTGGGAATGGAATTGTTGTAGTCATACAGTAATTTTCCAACTGCCAAGATGTTTCCAAAGTAGCTGCACAATTTTATACTTCCAACAGCAAAGTATGAGGGTTTCAGTTTCTTCATATCCTCATCAACATTTGCAATTGTTTGTCCTTTTTTATTATAAACATGCTAGTGGGTGTCAAGTGGTATCTCATTGTGGTTTTGGTTTGCATTTCCTAATAGTAATCATATTGGCCATGTTTTTATGTACTTAATGGCCATTTGTGTTTATAACTTTCAAAAAGTTTTAGTAATGTTTTTTTCTCATTTTTAATTGGGTTGTTAGCCTTTTTTTTTCTTTTTTTGAGATACAGTCTCACTCTGTCACCTAGGCTGGAGTGCCGTGGTGCGATCTTGGCTCACTGCAACCTCTGCCTTCTGGGTTCAAGCAATTCTTCTGCCTCAGCCTCCCAAGTAGCTGGGACTACAGGTGTGTGCCACCAAGCCGAGATAATTTTTGTGGTTTTTTTTAGTAGTGAAGGGGTTTCACCTTGTTGGCCAGGCTGGTTTCGAACTCCTGATCTCAGATGATCCACCCACCTTGGCCTCCCAAAGTGCTGCGATTACAAGCGTGACCACTGCACTGGCCTGTTTGCCTTTTGATTACTGAGTTGTGAAATTTCTTTATGTATTCCGGATACTAATCCCATAAGATATGGGATATGCATATAATACTTTCTCCCACTCTGTGGGTTATCCATGTTATTAATGATGTTCTTTGAAACAAAGTATTTCAAATTTTTTATGAAGTTCAATTTATCTATTTATCTATTAATTAATTAATTAATTTTGCTTTTGGTACCACGTGAAAGAAACAATTGCCTAATTCAGAGTCAAAAAGATTTGTACCTAGGTTTCTTCCAAGGGTTTTAAAAGTTAGCTGTGACATTGATTTGTTTGATCCATTTTTAGTTGATTTGTATATGTGGTGTTAGGACTGTGTACAATTTCTTTATTTCAACTTATGTTAAAAATATTTTTCTTTCCCCATTGAATTATCTAACTCCCTTTATGAAAAAATAATTGGTCATAAATATGTGGGGTTATTTCTGTTTTCTCAAATCTACTCCATAGATCCACATCCAAATTCTTGCGCAGACATCACACAATTTTTTTTCAATGTGGGATCAGAGTAAGCTTGAAATCAGAAAGTGTAAGTTTGTCAAGTTTGTTCTACTACTTTTTTTAAAAAAAATAGACTTTATTTTTTAAAGCCGTTTAGGTTTATAGAAAAATAAGTGAAATTACAGAGTGTTTCCATGTGAGCTCGCACTTCCTAATTTCCCCTGCTATTAATATCTTGCATCAGTGTGGGACATTTGTTGATGATTATTGAGCCACCCTATCATTAAAGTTCATAGCTTACATTTAAATTCACTTTTTTGTTGTACATTCTACGTTTTTTGACAAACATATAAGGATATGTGTCCATCGCTGTTGTATCATACATAGCAATTTCACTGCCCTAAAAATCCTCTGTGTTCCACCATGTTATTCTTTTTTCCCTACTTCTATTCCCTAACAACCACTAGTCTTTTGTGCTGTCTCCACATTTCAGAATGATATAAAGATGGAATCATAAAGCATGTAGCATGTTCAGATAAGGTTATTTCACTTAGCAATAGGAATCTAAAGTACTTTAATAAAGTTTTATAACTTGATAGCTCACTTACTTTTGTCGTTGAAAAATACTCTATTGTGTGAATGTACCACAGCTTGTTTATCCATTCACTTATTTAAGGACAGCTTGGTTGCCAGGAAGTTTTGGCAACTATGAATAAAGCTGCTATAAACATTTGTGTGTAGAATTTTTTGTGGGCATAAGCTTTCAACTCATCTGGGACTTTTTTCAATTCACACCAGGGAGTGTGATTGCGGGATATATACTAAGAGTATATTTTGTTTGTAAGAAACTGCCAAATTATTTTCCAAAGTGACTATATTATTTTGCATCCCAAAGAGCAATAAATTCTTCATGTTCTCACCAGGTTTTGGTGCTGTTGATGTCTTTCATTTCTGGCTAATGAAAAGTTGGTGTGTAGTGGTGTCTCATTGTTTAAACTTGCAAATCCCTAGTGGAATATGAAGTTGAGTATCTTTTTAAAATGCTTATTTGCTATCTGTATCTCTCCTCTGATGAGTTGGCCAAACGATTGAAGCCTTTAAGAACATAAACTAAAGTTTATGAGGCAAGAAGCAATTCTGCTTCAAGACTACAGCGTCCACTCTTTCCTGAGTTTCTAGACTACCAGTTTGCCCTACAGATTTTAGGCATGTAAGCACCCACAATTATGTGAGCCAATTCTTCAAAAATATTTTTACTTCTCTCTTTCTCTCTCTATATATACATATGGTTAGGGTTAGTGTTAGATATACAATTTTTTATATATATGTGTATATATATATATACACACACACACACACACACACACACATACAATTTTCCCACAAAAATATGTTTTTATGATAGTTACATTTACCTATATAGTTAAATTAACTCATGTTTTTATTTCTGCCCATCTTCATATGGATTCAAGTTACTGACTAGCCTGAAAAACTTTTCCAGGCTGAAAGATTTTCTTTGGCATTTCTTATAGAAAGTGTAGGTTAACAATGATTTCTTTCAGTTTTGGTTTATATGGGAATGTATTAAATTCTTCATCATTTTGCGAGCTAGTTTTATGAATATAGAATTATTGGTTGACAGACTTTTTTTTAAAACACTTTGAATATGACATCTCATTGCCTTCTGGTTTCCTTGGTTTCTGATGAGAAAGCAGCTATTGATGTTATTGAAGATCTCCTTTCTTAAATCAGCCTCATTTTTCTTCCTACTATCCAGACCCTGTCTTTGTAGTTGTATTTAGAAAGTTGATTATCATGTGTCGCGGGGTGCCACTCTTTGAATTTATTCTAAAATAGTAAGAGTTTATTCTTTGCTTTCATTGAATTTCTTAGAAGTGGAGATTAATGTTTTCTATAAAATTTAGGAAGTGTATGGCCATTATTTCTTCAAATATTTTTTCCAGGCTTTCATTATTTCCTTCCCTTTTGACACTCGCACCATGCATATATTGGTATACTTGATGGTGTCTGGAATCCTAAGATTTATTTTTCTTTTTTTTCTTTCTGTTCCTAGCATCAGATAATTTCAACTGACCTATCTTCAAATTTGCTGCTTCTTTCTTCTGCTATGTCGAACTACTGTAAACCCCTGTAGTATTTATTTTTCTTTCTCAGTTATTGTACTTGTGAAGGAAAAAAGAACTGTTTTTTCCTTTTACCCTTACATACCACTTGATAAAACAGTTCACCTCTGATCACAAAAATGTGTCGGAAATTTTCTGTCATCAACAATCATCTCTCCAATGGACGTCAACTGGGTGTCTGATAATTCAATTTAATTCTCTAATACCTATCAATAGTGTCAGATCCCACAGGTTGAGGACTCGGTCCCACAAGACTTCACCCCATTTCAGATATTAGTTGCAAAACCCTGGTTGTGAACTGTGCTTCTGACCAACTGGCTATAATTCCAGATTTCCACAACCCTTCCTTGGGTTCAATTAATTCGCTAGTGTCTCATAGAACTAAAGGAAGCACTTACCTTAAGTGGTTTGTTAATAAGGGATTTAAAAAGAATAGGGATGAACAACCACACGGAAGAAATGCATGTGCCAGTGTACGCAGAAAGGCGCAAAGAGCGGCCATGCCTTTTCCATCATATGACACTCTCCAGGAACCTCCAAAGAGCTATCTGTAAGCTCTTTGAACCCTGTCTTTTGGGTTTTTATGGCGGCTTCATTATGATTGGTTACATCGCTAGCCATTGGTGATCGACTCAACCTTCAGCCTCTCTTTCCTCTCCGGAGGTTGAAGGTGGGGCTGAAAGTTCTAATCTTCTAATTACATGGTTGATTTTCCTGATAACAGGCCACTCATCCCAAGGCTGTCCAAGTGCCCTCAGCCTCCAGGCATTTCATTAGCATGTAAAAAGACACTTATCACTTCAGAAACTATAAGGATTTTAGAAGCTGTGTGCCAGGAACCCAGGGCAGAGATAAAATATATATTATATCATAATATTACAGTTCACACCCTAATCTCTGGCCATGGACTCCTTACAGAAAAAAAAGATATACAACTCAAAAGACATGGACATATGATAAGAATTCCATTTAATTTTTGGTAATTACTCCATTCCGCCTTTAAATTGCATGAAAATGTCTCTGAGTGAGGCTACTCAGATTTTTAAATTTCCACTCAATCTTGTCAAGTTTTAAAAGCAAGAGTAGTGTCATCAATATATGGCTTCACTTTTCCAGGCATCTGGTATAATTGAGGTACGAGATAATATCTTTTGCTTTAGGCCTCTTTCAAGGTGTTAATGTAATATCCTATTTCTTGTATTACATAATCCATGTATTCATTCTTTGCTCTCAGCTACTATTCTACTTTCTCTTCATTTAGACTTTTCAACTCCAGGATTTCCAGTTAATTCTTTTTTAGTAATAGTTATCTCTATCTTGGTATTCTTTATTTGATAATACACTATTGTCATGCTTTCCTTAACTTCTGTGCATGGCTTCATTTAGCTCTTTGAACATTTTTACAGCAGTTAATTTAACATCTTTGTCTAGTAAGCCCAACACCTGTCCTTTTTCAAGGACATTTTTCATTGATTGATTTTCTTTTCCTATGCATCAGCCATACTTGTATGTTTTTTAAATGTTTCATATTTTTTTTTGAAAATTGACATTTTAAATAATGTTACAAGTTAAGGTTTCCTCCTCAGTCCCCTGGTTTATTATTGCTACTACTTATTGCTGTTTTTAGTTGCTACTAGTTGTTGTTGCTGCTGCTGTTTTTGTTCAGTGACTCTCCAGAATTAATTCTTGAAAGTCTGTATTTTATAGAACAAGTGAGCATGGAAATCTCTTCTTGGTTGCCTTAGTGCTTTGCATAATTAAATCTCCCAAGCTGGATGGGGGGCTCTCTAAGCTTACTGCAGCATGCATCTAATGCTTTGGGAGGCACTTCTTAGCTCTGACTTAGCCTTCACTTCCTGTTTGTACATAGCCATAAGGTCTTCTCAAATCTTTCCTGTGCAGCCTTGCATATGCATGTAACCATCTAGATTCCCAGGAATAAGCTGGAGCTTTTCAAAGCCCTCTTTGGACATCTATGTTCTAACTTAGTAAGTTCAGAGTCAGGTCAAATAAAACAAGCCCTGTGAATGGGAGTTTCCAGTGAACTCCTAGACAAGTCATATGGTAACAATTCTGTGTGGAAGGGGCTTTCAGAGAGCTACAAACTATTCTGATTGTGCTGCTGCTTTTTCAGGCTGTTGGTTTTCAAGGCTGCCGCAGAGCTAGGGGAGGGGCTAGGAATAGGATAAATTAAAATGCCAAAAAAAGTATGTTTTATTAAAATTATTTTCCCATAAACATTATTTGGATTTTTGCAAGACTTTAGTTAATATCCAGGGTCCTGAAGGAGTGGATTTTGACAAGTTTCGCCATTGTTCTTTTTGTTTTTATAGCTGAAGCGATTTTCAAATGTGATTACTCTTCCATATTGCTAATACTGCTAAAAATCATTCTTAACCATATGAATAATGGTAATTTTCAACATACTCTATATTGTATATATGACAGTCACTATGCTCAAAGCCAATTATTTATACACTGGTTCTTATTATTTAATCCTCAAAATAATGCCAGCTTTCATCACTATGGAACAAACAAGAACATTTTCTCAGGAAACTTCCCAAGCTCACACCAATCACACTGCTTGCTAATGAGAGAAATAATCACCTCTCTCTAATTCCAAATACTAAACTCATAGAATCAGTAGTGTTAAAATATTTGTGTCTGAGTCATATTTATATATATATGTGAAAATTTTTGGCAAACCATGGAAGACATTAAAAGGTAAAAATCAAGTTATTTATTTAAAAAATCTCCTATGAATGGTAATATCAGCTTTTCAAGTCTTCTTTAATGTTTACTACGTATATATTTCCCAAATAATACTTCTTACAAATTCAAAAGACTTAAGTTATACCCATTTCTAATGTGTGTACCATCGCATTCATGTAGCTTGATGCTAAGATATACCTCTCATTTCTCTATCTTAGCAAGTACTCATTTCTACCCTATGCCAAAAACCCCACCCAGTTCAAAATCTAGGCAGACAGATATCATTGTATATTTTACGCATCCTCCAGTGTAGAACAACAAATGGTTTTTGGTGAGCAAACTTTGGTAGCACATTTGTGAAGAAATAAAATGTATATAAACTAGAGTGATAGAGCTCATGTTTTGATTTAAAAAAATCTCAATAGCTCCTTCACACAGGCAGCATCAGAAGGGCCATTAGACAGTATTACTTAGCGCCTTTGCCTTTGTTTTTGCATTATTTTGTTTCATAAAGTAAATGTAGGAGTATTTATGTAAATTTTAGTTATCAAAAACATCTAAAAGGAATTCAGAAACATTTAGCACAATTTAGACACCATTGGTCGTGTTATTACTGTAATTTTGATGTTAGTTGTGCTCTCCAACACTAGCACTTCTAAATTTTGGATCATAGAGAGTGGGTTGGAAACTTAACACTTTTTAAATTCTCCAGATGTCTATTTCTAAGCCAATTTACTCAAAAATCATAATGTAACAAAAATGACCTTCTAAGTTAACAGGATTTATCTTTCAATAGTAAGCAACAGAAAGTAAGTCATTTGAAAACATACTGTAGATAAAACACCCACCTTTCAATCAACATTCAGAAAATACCCTTTATGTTGCTTTGGCCACACTCACAAACACACATAATAAACAGTAGAATAGCTGTAAACTACCAACATAAGATTTTTCCAAGTGTGATTTTTTAAATCTCATTTTTATACTAATGTAGTTATAAAAGCAGAGACAAATATGTGAAAATCATCACCACACTCACAGAGTTGCTTTAGAAATAACAAAGCATTCTTTTTAAATAGCATCTTCTCTGAAAGAGTGACCTCAGCAAGACAAAATAGGGGTTCTCTGGCTGCTCATGCCCCCAACAGAAACCCAACTATGAACTATCCACAGAAAAGAATATCTTCATAAATATCCCAGAACTTGAGAATGAGGCTGAAACACTCCCTCAAGCTGAAAAACTGAAAAAAAGCCATATTCAGATAGAAAAGCCATATTGACCATGCCACCCACTCCTGCACCAGCACAACACTGCACACAGAGGATTCCCCTCCTTTCAGGATTTCTATAGTGGGAAAAGTGAGTTGGAGGTGGACATTCAGCTTCCCCGTCATTCTGGGGTCCTTTGCTGGAGCCTCATGCCTGTTTTTTCCCAAAAAAATCACTAGGAGCGCTGACATGGCTAGACTACCTGGGGTAAGTTAGAAGCAAGAATGGGAGTGGCGCTCCCAATGACCAGCCCATGGACCTCAGCTGTTGTTTTGCATTCCAGTCCATGAAGGCACCATAACTCAGAGACCAGCCAACAGCCTTATGCTGCAGAAAGCATGGTCCATAGGTCTACCAGGCTCAAGTCTTTGGCCAGCTTCTCCACAGAGCCCTGGTGCTCTCCTCAAGGTTTCCACAGGACAGGAGGCAAGTGCAAGTCACCAATTACCCATAGAAGGAGCATATAGCCCCACTCAACAACAGCTGCTGAACAGTGACTCTACCAAGCCTCTGTGCCTTGCTAAGCCTACTGTTGGCTGAGAGGCAAACCCAAGCTCACACATATCTGTGGAGCATAACCTCTGACCCCAACACCAGACGTGGCCACGTTAAAACCCAGAGACCTCACCCAGCCTTGAAGCTCCAGCACATGGCTATGCCCAATTACAGATCCCCAAAAACAGTGTTGCCTAGCCAGGAAAACAACCTGCACAACCTGATCAGAGATAATTACAAAGCCCAGACAGCAACTGGTAGAGTCCAGCCAGTAGTATCTTCAGCACATGGAGCACAGTCAGCAGTACCATTCAACATCAGAGCACAGGAAGTGACCCAGCACAACTAGAGAACCTGACGCCAAGGTTCTCTGCCTGTCCAGGGTTGCTACCAACTGACCCATCCAAAATCCCAGGCTAGACCAAATAATAAAGGTCTGTCACCACCAAAGGACACCTGCAAAGGCCTGAGGAGTTGGCCATCTCCTCAGATGCACAGGCATCAATGTAAGGAAACAAAGATTATGAAAACTCATGGAAATATAACACCGCCAAAAGAAACCAATAAAGCTCTAGTAACAGACCCCAGAAGAAATGGAGATCTATGAAAAGACTGACGGAGAATTTAGAATAGTCCTTTCAAAGAGGTACAGTGAACTCCAAGAAAATATAAATAGAAAATTAAGTAAAATTTGAAAACTATTTATGAACAAAATGAGAAGTGTGACAGAGAGACAAACAATTTTCAATACTGTTATTATGAATAATTATATGGAGTTTCCTCAGAAACCTAAAAATAGAACCACCATATAATCTAGTAATTCCACTTCTAAGTTTATATCCAAAGGAACTGAAATCAAAGGATATCTGCACTCTCATATTTATTGCAGCATTATTCACAATAGCCAAGATATATAATCAACCTAAGCATTCATCAGTGAATGAATGGATAAAGAAAACATGGTATATATTCAGAATGGAATACTATTCAGCCTTTAAATGTCAATGACAGGATTTCCTCAACAGATTGAATAAATCTGGGAGGATATTATGTTAAGTGAAATAAGCCACACACAGAAAGATAAATACCACATGAGCTTACTTATATGTGGAATCTAAGAATTGAACTCATAGAGTATAGAGTAGAATGGTGGCTACCTGGGGCTGAGGATTGGGAAGGGAGAGAATGAGGAGTTGTTGATCAAAGGGTACACAGTTTCAGGTAGAAGGGAGAAATAGGTTTTGAGATCTACTGTAGAGCATGGTGACTATAGTCAATAATATTGTATTGTATATTTTAAAATAATTAGGAGGGTAAATTTCAAATGTCTCATCATAAGAAATGATAGGTAAGAGAGGTGATGGATATGTTAATTAACTTGATTTAATCGTTCAAAATTGTATACATGTATCAAACATCACATTGTACCCCATGCATGTATAATTATGATTTATCAATGAAAAATACCATTAATAATAAAATAAATAAATAGCATATTTTCTACATAGTATAATTTGCAAAACTCGATCAGTGAATTCCTTATTTCTTTAAATACATTAAAAAAATTTAAAGGGTATGCTTATTTTTATAGTATAGTTACTATTTTAAGGTTCTAATACACAAAAGCAATTTTATATCCTCTAAACATATTGATGCCCTATTGTTTTCATATATTTTATAGGCAAATTTCTCAAGTCAAATATTTTGAGGCCTTTCTTCCACCTTTTAAAATGTTGTCGCTATCAATGGTTTTAAAAATAAAAAATTTTCTTGAGTTAGGTTAGACTATGAAAATCACCTTTATTTTATGAGGCAGGATTTAAGAGGAAGTTTCAGTGAATATGGTGACTACATTATTCATATTCATTGTCTATCAAATACTGTAAAATTTTATTCCCTCCAAACCATTTCTTTACAAATGTACACACTTTTGTGGAAGTACCTTCTTGGCAACAATTACAAAGTAAATTATTTCAATATAATCATTCATTCAGGATAAACCAATAAAAAATTCAGCCCATTTTCCATAGTGAGCACAATTCATGAGGTTCATAAAAAAGTATATGTCAAGAAATTAGCTTTGTGTCATTGACACCAACGTGAAATAGCATATAACTAATGAAACAAGTGACAAGAAACTAATGAAATATCAAGAAGAATTAATATGATGCCCTTCCTACTTCTAAAAGCATTTAGGGAAAAGGCCCAAACTCTAATAGATCATATCGGGTGATTATCTCCAGCTTGTAATTTTAAAACAATCATTGATCATGTGCAAGGGATTTGCTAAAAGCCATGCCTTTACTGAAGTTAAGAACCTTTCTGCATGTGATGACTTTGAAATACGTGATGTGTCAGCTGCCAGCAATGCTAATTTCAGACAGGAGAAACCAGGCCCTATGAATTACTAAACTGCCTCTCAGTATGAGTTCTACATTGCAGCATTTATTCTGAGTTCTGATTTATGGAGAAATATTCAGCCTCTCTCTCTCTTTGTCTCTTTCTCTTTGTCTCTGTCTGTCTCTCTCTCTTTCCCTCACTCTCTCTCTCATTCTCACTCTCTGTCCACAACATGCCATTATCAAATTATTACACAAATGTCTCAAAATGATTGTCTATTCTTGACAATTTTATAGCTTCTTTATAAAAACTTTTAACATCATTATTCTGTAGGAATTAATAAATGAGTTTCTAGGTTGCAAATAAGTAGAATACAATTTGGAGCAGAATATGCTTTAGGAATCAAACTCACCTCTAAAATGTAAAGAGAATGTGTTTGACTCAGATAATGAAATGAAGAAAAAAACTGGCATTTCTGTTAATACATTTTAGATCACTTTTCTTATAATCACAATGACTTCTATAATGAAAAAAAAGTCCATTTGTCTTCAAGTAGAAAAGATTCTGCCACTTATCCATTTACCTATTTTAACTTTCTTTTTTATTTTTTTACATATTTAGTTTTGCACAGAAAATACCTACATTGATGTTTTTATGTTTGAGAAGTGTGCTTGTGACTATTTGCCAAATGCAAGTTGTTTTTTTTTTTTCTTTTTTTTCTCAGTTTCTGTATCACTTCTGGTTTCTCGCTTCTCCTAAATCCAGATAGGTTTCAACCGTAAGCCAGTAATACAGATTGTGAAACAATTATTGATTGATCAGCAAGCTTACATCGCCATAAAAAGTCTCTAACGACAGATGTGTAAGAGGAGTGAGGTAAATGTGACTATTCTCATCCCACAGCTGATGACACCATGTCCGTAGCAGCTCACACAAGGGCTCATGGGTAAGGTCAGGCATAAAACTTGGGCGTTTTGAATTCTTGGTCATTGCTGTTTGTATGACGGTATATACCAACTTAAGAACTTCTGACATGTGCAATAATATTTAGCCAGAAAACATTGATTCTGACTCGAAAACAGCAGGCATGTGATCATTACAGGAATTGTAGAAGGACATAATTCCCAAGTCCACAAATTGTGACTGCTAGTGAGATAGAAAATACAGGAACCTATCAAAGAAAAGAGAGATGTAAGACCAAATTGCTAGGGAGTTCCTGAAAGAAGATAAAAAATAAAACTGTGATGAATAAAAGGAAGCAAAAGAGACAGAGGTTAAATAATAGGGCATAGGAATTCAAAAATAAACCTTAAGATAATAAATATAGTTGCATAAAACCAAGAGAGTTACTTCTCACAACTGTACCATGAATGGATACATAAGGTTACAGTGATGCAATCCCTAAAGAATACTTGGAATCATCTGCAAAGTCATGACCATTTGGATAATGGGAGCACTTTCAGCTCAGGGATAAGACATTTGACACACTTATTTAAAAGATTTAACTTATAGCATAATTAACAAATATTCTTATGTTAATGTAATTTGTTAAAATTGCTACATATAAGGATGTGTGTAATAATATGACACCGTAGCAGTATTCCATGAACACACTACCTGAGGAAATTGCATTTCAGAGGACAGTCAGCATTACTAAAGATGATTAATGTTGATTATAAATTCCAACACCATACTTATTCAATGTGAAATCATCACAAACTCTCTCCCCTCCCCTGCTGGCAATAGGACTAATAAGATGGCAAGCTCAGGACAATCAGGAAGCTGCTGACATGGTTTCTTTGCTAGAAAATTAGTGCTACCATCAACAAAATAAGGGCATCTGGAGCGGCTGGTTGACCTGGGGAGAGATGAAGGATAGACATGGGCGGCCATGACTACGCTTGAGAACGTTTCTTTATGGAAGCTTCATCAATGAACACGTGTGTAGGCTCTGCAAAGCCGGGTCTCCCCAGGGTCAGTCTCAGCTCAACATCACACTAAAGACATCATCATCTAAAGTTAATGTTCTTGGAAAATAATCTATCCATTTATTTTAGATCTTCTTCAAGTGATGAATCAGGGGGTGACATAGTCATTCACACATCTCAAATTTCCAAAAATGTTCTTCAGACATTGCTCGCTTTCCCCCATATTTCACACTTCTGTGTGTAATTTAACAGCAGCTGTTAAATTTCTTTCCCCCTTGTTTCTTCTTATGTCTTTGCTAGGATGATGCTTGTTTTCCTTCCCTCCCTCTGTGCCCCTGTCCCCACCTCCACTGCTCACAAAGGCTCAGGCTTTGAAAAGTGAGCCCCTCTTCCTCTCACTGGGGTCTTGGAACTGCCTTCTGCTCCTGCTTTGAATTTTCAAGTGAGCACAACTGGGCTGGAAATGTGTGAAACACAACCTCCGTCACATCAATTTCCCCCTAAGAAAACTATTTATCATAAAATTCTCTCTCAGACAATTGGGTAAAAGCAAAAGACAATGTTACTTGTATTCTTCTAACTAATAAGCCATCTCTCTTTGGCTTCACCTTCTGTACCCTTGGGGACAGAAGGCTGTGAATCAGCCTCCAAGTCACCACATTTCTCTGGGTGCTCCTCGGAGCTGCTATCCCGGAGCTGCTCCAGTGTTCTCTGCCCCCTACACTTCTCGTCCTTGTGCCTTTCACCAGCACACTCAAAAACTGATGTGCTATTTGCTTTTTGGTTTTGCTATTTGTTTTTGTTTTCTGACTCCTGCCTGGCCCTTCTTGTAATTCAAATTTCCTTTAAACAAGCAGACCGCACTAAGGACTGGAGGGAAAGCCCTGGCCCAAGGTCTGGCTTCCACTACAGGGCAGGGCAAAGCCTTGAATGACCAGAGTGTTCCTTCCAGAACTTCCTTTCTCTGTCCAGGAAAAACTTAAAATCTTAAAGCAATCGGATGGGTATGGAATTTTTTCTGAAGACTGATTTCCAGATTGTGACTTCATAAAATAATGTATTAGTTGTGCTAGATGCATGGGAGGAATATGATGCATTATGTTTCCTATTCAGTATAGTTTTGATTGCAGATCCTGCCCCAAAGTACAGTGACAGTCTCATGGTTGTCTACACAGCTTCTCTTAATCAAGAAAAATATTGTCAACTCACCCCTTTAGTATGGTTTTCAGCAAATAACTTCATTCCACTGATGTTCTTTTTCTGTAGGATAAGGGCTATTCAGCCCATACATTTGAAACTGAATCACTGAGTTATTAAGGTTTATTAAAATGTATTATTCCTGAACTAAAATTAGCACTTTTGTGGAGTTCATAGAGGACTCCAATTAACAAACCTTCCATAAAGTCCACCTACTTCACTGCTGGGGGACAACGCAGCTTCCTAGTCAATGCCAGGGAGGAAACCCTGCAGTTGTAGGACGCTTGGCTCTTGTTTGTATCAATATTCTCCTAAGTTGGGGTTTAAAATGGCAGCTCTCCATTTAAAAAAATTAAATAGTACACTCTAATCATTTTCAAGTTAAGCACTTTGACTTGGTTAATCCATAATGTGATTTTATCAATTTGCATTAAGTGCTCTTAAACATGTGTGTGTGACGGCAAAATTGTTCAGCATCCTTATCTCATTATGAAGAAAGTTTTAACATTATCTCTCCAAAAATTTCTTTGGACATGACATTTCTTTGTGTGTCACTGATATCTTTTTCAGAGAAAAGTGGGGAAAAGGAGATTTTGGATTGTGGAAATTTTTGCTCCTTCTTACTTGCACTCTCATTTAAAAAGTATAAAATCACTGTTCTGGAAAGCAATGGATTAGTAGGAATGAGTTGTTGGTAGTGGCAGTAAGAATAGCAATCACATACTCTAAGCTTATAAATATTTTCTTAATTATTAGGTTGGTGCAAAAGTAATTGCAAACATTATGTTGGTGCGATTACTTTTTCACCAATCTAATATTTTTCTTTTTATATCTCCACTTATTTGCACAGTAAACGTATCCAGGCAATGGTCTTCAATACTGGAAACAGTCTAGATTGTGCCCTTGCATTTGGTAAATGGGACGATTGGTCATTTGTTTGTTCTTTCTCTTCTCTCTGACTCCCTCTCTGCCAGTTTCCTTTCTTCCCTCACTGACCTGACCAGGAACTTTTACAAGCAAAAATTTCTTCTTGTAGAAGGATACAGCAAGACATTCAATTTGAGGTTGCATAGTTGACTTTGATTTCGCCGTTCAGGTTAGCTTGCATTGTTAACAATTGGATGTGGTGGAAGATGTCTCAAAGCTTTAGCCACCACTGGGTGGGAGGAAATAGTTATGCTTAAGCTCTGATAAACAAGAAGGTGCATTCTAGAAACTTTAACATAAAGCTGGATCCCAGGTCACCCTCCAAAAAAATTACAAGAAACATTCCCTTTTCTAAATCCAACTGGACATCACTACATTCTCACTTCACACCAGATAAAAAGATAGCTGAAGTTGCACTTCCCTGGCAGCATACTGCACTTTCTTCTAAAGAAAAGCAGTTGGGGTTTGAGAATTTTGATTATGTCAGCACATCTGTAATCACAGCTAAGCTCCTGCTGTATGTGATTTTGGTCTGCGTGATAGTTTATAGATCAGGAGTGTTTTGCAGGGCTCTGAAAAGGTGGGCAGAAGGAGACAGTGGAAATGTGAGTGGTTTTGAGACCTAACTTTGCTCCTGGTCAGGGTATGCCCCTCGGCTGATCCAGCCAAGGACTATGCGTGATTGGAAACATTGTAGGAAAGAGGGGTTGTATTAGTCTGTTCTCACACTGCTGTAAGGACATACCTGAGACTGGGTGATTTACAAAGGAAAGAGGTTTAATTGACTTACAGTTCCACAGGGTTAGGGAGGCCTCAGGAAACTTACAATCATGGCAAAAGGGGAAGCAAACATGCCCTTCTTCACAAGGCAGCAGGAGAGAGAGAAGAATGAGAGTGTGGGCAGGGAAAGCCTCTTCTCAAACCATCAGATCTCGTGAGAACTCACTATCACCATACTAGCATGAGGGTACCCGCCCCCATGATTAAATTACCTCCCACTAGGTCCCTCCTACGACATGTGGAGATTATGGGAACTACAATTCAAGATGAGATTTGGGTGGGGACACAGCCAAACCATATGAGGGGTCATTAGGATTTTTACGGATTCCTCATCCAAAGCAAAAAATTCTTGAAATTTCCATACTGGGCAATACACAGTGTGGATGACTTTAGCAGCCACACAGAAAAGACTCCTGGGTCAGACAGAGCAGCTTTTGAAGGCCAACTCCTTCACTTTCTAGTTAAGATCCTACGTATTTCTACTTATAACCTATCCAAGCTCCAGCTTTCTTCTTTGGAAAAGGTAAGTAATTCCACATATGTTTTTGTAATTATTCAATGGACAGATGCACAAATGTACACCTGGCATTAAGCCTTGCAATTGGTAACTCTTGGCTTCTCTTTCATTCTTACTGGACAGGACCACAGGACCAGGCATTTGGACATCTCCTGCAGTAAGATGAATGTGTATTTTGAGACTCTAATTAGGTTGTCTAGTTAGCATCCCAAAGCTTCATATTCTTTCTAACAGCACGTTTTTTAGGTCCTTGTATACAGAAGCTTCCTCAAGGTTTGTTTTCCTAAGAACACATCTCTACTGGAAGTGGGGAAGAGGGTGTAGGAAGGGGCTGTGCATGGGCTGTCTTCCCAGGGTGACCTCTCACCATCACGGGACAATGGAAGCAGCAACGGCTTCCAATGACTGTGGCATTGGCTCCTCTTCCTGTAGGGATGCTTTCAGCCTCTCTTCTTCCCTGAAATACCCTCCACTTGTCCTCTTCAGCAAGGTCATGGGCATAGGGCTTCTCCTTCCTTAAGTCCATGTGGAGGTGGTCCTGTTCCGGGCTCCCCTTCCCTCTCCTCCTCTCCATTTCTCCTCTGCCTGGAGCCTATGCTCCCAACAACAGCCTGGGAGCTGGCGCTACCTCAACTGCACCCTGCAGGCTAGGGGTGGGCATAGCTGGGCCACACTCATTCAGTGGTGGGGACATGAAGCTAGGAAGTCATTGGTTCCCTTTCATCATAAAATTCACTCCTCTTGTACAGGCCCAGTCTAAATGATTTAGGCAGAACACAGGGAGCAATTAAAGGCAAGGAGGCATCAGCTAGGCCTACCTTGATTCTGGGCCCTGCATATCCTGCACACTTAGCTTTGCACAAGCAGCTCAAACTTTATTCTGCTGCACTCTACCCTAGGATCCATTAAATGTGTGTCCTTAGGAAAATCATATGCCAGGAAGCTTCCTATTTGAAAATACTTCAAAACTGTGCTCTTAGAAACAATAAGAAGCTTTGGGACAGATTCTTAAGTGATAACTAGATAATCTAATTAGAATACAAAACCATTCAATAATGAGCAAGTTATTATGACCTCCTTATAGGGTTGTCATGAGGATGCAATGTAATCATATACAAAGCTGAGCAGATGCTGGCACTTCAGGGCAGCTCAAGATGGTCATTTTTGATGCTTTTGCTCTTGTGAAGTGGCTCCACTCACAGTCCTGCAATGCTGAGGCACCCCTCTGGGGTCCTCAGCAATCTCTGTAACTAACAGGCTTCACTTTCTGCTCTTTGGACTCAGGCTACATCAGTAGCCAGTGGCCTTTCTCAACTGCATCCAAACTAGACCCCTTTACTGTGAAACTCAGGGGTCGCACACTCAAACACCTGACCTTTCTCCCCAGGAAGGAGTGACATGTTTTCCCACTGTGGTCACTCAAGTCTCTCCCCCAAGGATCCTCATCTCTCTTTATTCAGCCTCTTCTCTTTCCAGAATATATGGCCGTTTCCTGTTATCTCAATGTGTTCTGTAGAGGTGACAAGTCAGGGGACACAGCTCTCTATTTGTTATCTATAAAATATAATTTGGCATCATGGAATTCTATAAGTAAAATACTAAAAATACAAAAATTAGCCAGGCTTGGTGGCGAGCGCCTGTAATCCCAGCTACTCGGGAGGCTGAGGCAAGAGAATTGTTTGAACCTGGGAGGCAGAGGTTGCAGTGAGCTGAGACTGCACCACTGCACTCCAGCCTGGGTGGCAGAGCAAGACTTCATCTCAATAATAATAATAATAATAATAATAATAATAATAATGAGAATGAAGAAGAAAATAGGGTATTGTCATTATGATACTCTAAATCAGCAGTTCTAAGCAGAAGTAAAGAATGTGTCACTTGTTTTCTTCCATCTCTTACGCTCTGATACCAATTGCTGTCCTTGGACTAAAGTTCTATGAGGATGTTTTCACAGATCAAGAGAGAAATGGGCAAAATAAGAGCAACATTATGACTTTTTTAAAAATAAATTTACAGTTATTGAATTAAACAAACAAACAAAAAAACTGTCTTCAGAAATTATCGCCCTTCCTCCTTCATAGGTATTAAAACATCATTAATTTTTTGAAATAATGGTGTCACAAAATTGTAGTTTTATGCTTTTAATGTTCTTACTTGAAAAAATATTAAATTAATAACACTATATTGTTTTCTCCATAATGTGTTTTTGAAAGTTTTCTTGTCTATTATACACAAAATTTGAATGTAACATCTGCCCGTAAAGTTATATAAATTAGATAAAAATTAAAATAAAAATTAACAAGTAAATCTTTGCAGATATTCTAATACTAACTTATCTGGATCCCTTCTTTTTCCTGGAATATTTTTATCTAAAAAAAAGCCTCAGCTATTTTAACCTATCTGTACAGACATGTGCTCAGTGTATGTAATACAACAAAGAGAGATGGTATCAATAGAAGACTATAAAGTGCTGTGGGTTCATAAAGAAATGGCCAGTAGAAAGCAAGACAATTTCCCATTTTGAAATTGGCAAAATGAAGAAGATGATTATAAGATAGCCTGAGAGAAAACCTTAAAGGCTGGGCTTAGCAAAATGTCACTCCCAAGCTGATGAAAAAACAGAACACCCAATTCTGTTGCCTACTTTGCTGCCTAGGACCTCTGATGAGTCTCAAATAGTTACTGCTGTTTTGAAACAGCCATACCTTGTCTCAAAGAGTTACTGCTGTTTTGAAACAGCCATACCTTTCACATCTTAGTGAATGCCATGCACGTTTCTTAAGTCCGACATTAAACATCAAGGTTGGTAGGATTCATCTCCAAGATATTTCTACAGTCAATGCCTTCCTCCTCTTCCTCACTGCCAGTATTGTTGCCCACTCATAGTGATTTTTTTACTGGTTCTAGCAACTTTCCTACCCTTCCCTCTGCTTCAGAATCCCCTCTTTAGGAGCAGTAAAATGAGACTGAGCTAGACAAAATCCTCCCATCAAAGACTTCCCGCTACACTTAGAGTGGAGTCCTGCCTACCCTCCCCACTTGGTGTGAACTACTCTGCCCTGCAGCTCCTTAACTGCCGGAGCAGATGCTCAAAGGGTGGGAACACCAGCCACAGCTCATGATATGAATGGCTGGTATTCTCACCCTTTGAGCATCTGCTCCTGACCGTCTTGTAGAGTGCACACTGGCTTATTCCCTGCTCTACTACCATTACATCATCTTATTTATTTTCTTTCTAACACTTTGCACACTACCAAGGTTTGATTATTTTTATTGCCTGTTTCCTACAAAAACATATGCTCCCTGAAGTCTGGGAACAACTTTTCCATTTAGACTTACCTTCGTTTCCTTAGCTGGCTAATGGTAGGCTCTCAAGTATTAAATAACCTTGCAATGCTCTACAGTACATTCCACTTCGAAACCTTATGAATACTGCACACTGTAAATCTGGAGCGAGGTGAGACCTGCACATGTGAGGAGTGCATGTGCTCTTCCATGGAAACGTGGAATCGTTCATGGCTTCACACCAATTTAGAATATCACAATGGCTTCATAAGAGAGAAATGAAAAAGGAAGAGATGGTTGGTCTTATAAGAAATGCTTGAATGAGTGCGCTTTTATGAGGAACAAGTATCTAAGGAGGAGTTTGCCATTGCCAAGACCGCGTGGACCCCAGCAAAGAAAATTAAAATCACTATGAAGACAATGCTGGGAAGAACTTAGACATGGGACCTTTACGTGTCCAAGTAAAGGGCAGCTTCCAGCCTTGTGCAACATTCTTCAGTTCTCCATTTAAATTAGATTGATGGGGCAGCAGTCTAGGGTTTCTGTTTCCTGTGGTCTATGTTGGGAGAAGGAGCTGTTTGATGTGAACTCTCTGCATGAACCGCCTCTCAGGGAGTAGTCCAGGTACCTATAGGAGGCTCCACTCTGTGTAGGCAGCCCCCAGCCAGTGAAGGAGATTGCAGGGGGCTGGGGATGGAGTTATGAATCAGACACGGCAAGAGAAACCATCCAGAACCGGAGCAAATGGAAAGAATTATAAGGTGGCCTACCAGATGCACGGGGCAAGCCCATGCCACAGATTTGAAAATCTGAAGAAACAGATGATTCTAGGCCTTCCTGGGAAAATACGATTACTAAACTATTACTGAGATACCTAAAGAGACCCTGAGGTAATTTGAAAAGTTGTCCTTCTAAACGTCATCACCATAGACAATGTAATGAACAACTTTTTTCAAACTTTTAAGAAAAGGAAATGTCTTCCTTTTGAGAAATTCATCCAGAACACAGGGAAAAATTAATGTTGTAAAATTATTCTTCTTGTGAAACCAAATTAAATTGATACCAAAGCCAAGGACAGAAAGCACTCTAAAATGAAAGAGAAAAACCTATAGACAAAAAAGAAAAAAACTAACCTGAGAGCATTGAAACACATTATACTTCAAAAGTATATCAAAGGAATAATGTATCAGCCAGGTACAGTTCATCCCCAAGAACTATTGATTCAATATTTTAAAATATATAATTTAGTCCCATATTAATATGTAGAAGAAAAGACCCCAGAGGACCACTTCACAACTGCCAAAAGCCTTTGATAATATTAAGCATGTATCCCTACGGAAGGAAAAACAAATCATTGAAACTTGATAAAAGCATATCTCAAAGTAACATTCAATATTAGGCTCAATCATATACGGCTGCAAACACCTCAGTGAAATCAAGAACAAGCCAGGAGGCATGCAATCATCTTTAGGGTTTAATATGCTTCTGTGGAAATCCTAACTAGAAAAATTAGAAAAAGGAAATAAAATGAAATATAAAATACTGAATTGGGAAAATATACACAACCCTACAGGCAACTTTCATTTTTTGATGATGTGAGGGCCAAGAGCCTTGGCCTTGGTTCACTGAAAAACTGAGACAGCTGAGTATAAAGGGGTCCCCAGAGAACCTCCGACCAGCCTGCGCATGGGGAGAACGGGATGGAGCCTCAGAAAGTTTGTGCCATTGTTTTGCAGTGGGGAGGAGCCTGGCCTCTCCTGTTCTGGGGTGGAGTCTCGCTTTGCTGAGAGTCCTTGTTTCCCTTTTGTTCCCTTTTCACCCAGTAAGCCCTGCCCTTCTCACCCTTCAGAGTGTCTGTGAGCCTGATCTCTTATGGTTGTATAAGAACCCGGCTTTTAGCTGAACTAAGAAGAAAGTCCTACAGCAAAATCACTGACATGAAGCAGATTGATTAATAAGTGATGACAAGGCACAGAAATGTACTTAATGACATCTACACGAGAGCCTTCACAAGGGAGACCCAAAAATATATGGGAAATTGTTCATATGTATCCTTAGATTCAACAAAGTATGGACGGCTATGCAGAAATATGACGACACGAAAAAGGCCCGAGCTGATGCTAATAGACTGAGTGGGGAAACCCTGCAAGGCCTGTCTGTCTAGATTCTTCTTGGCCTCTCTGAGCAGCGCTCCTTCCTTCCGGGTGTGGGGCAGCGCCCTTTGAGGAATGAGGGTCTGATGACCTGTAGTCAAAAAAAGAAGGTCAGATAATTTCTTTATGGCTAGTTTTTACATAGAATACTGTTTAGTTTTTTTGGCTGGATTTCTGGAAATGGGACTGAGAAACAGGAGGGCAGGAGAAGGTCAGAGAAAAACTTTTGCTTCTGAAGAAACTGCTGAGGCCTTCACGTTGGGGTATTGTTTTCTGAGTGCCAACAATGATCTATGTATTGGTTTATTACGTAAACAGGTCCATGAGCCAGGCACTGTTGCAAGGATCGAAAAGTCAAATGTTAGAGGAAAATAGATGCTGCCTGGACCTCAGAGACCTTGCACTTCAATGAGGGAGAGAACTGTCCTCAATATGAAGAAAAATAAATGCAAATTGCGAAGGTGGTGAGTGCTGCAAGGAAGGTGTCCCGAAGCCAACAGAACGACGGGATTGTTAGACGTGATCATGAAGGCAGTGGCCAAGGAAAACAGGAGCCGAAGCAGCAGTGCTGAGTTTAACAACCCCATCTCCATTCTCTGCATTCTTCCAGTCTTAGGGGAAACTAAGGAAATGGGAAGAAAATAGGTGGGGGGAAATGAGTCACTAGGGGAAGAAACACCACCATGGTAGCCTCTAAAACAAAGGAGGGCGTGCTGAGTAGACAGTGGAGCCAAGCAGGTGACTTAGGCATTCATATTCATGGATTGACAATGATATTGAACAGGTCCTTCTCCGAGTCACTGAGACACTGCTTTAGAAAGGTGAGAGCTGGGCTTCAAAGCGAGACACAGCTAGAGAAAAACATGGAAGCGTAGCATAATAAATGCATGCCTTAAAGGCAGTAAGGATTATAATGCACATTGGAGACTGAGAAGGAGGGAGGGTAGAGGTGAGGGAGGGATGAGAAACTACCCGCTGGGTACAATGTACACTATTTGGGTGACAAATACACCAAAAGCCCAGACTTCACCACTACACAATTCATCCACGTTACCAAAAGCTCCCTGTATCCCTAAAGCTATTGCAACGAATTTTTTGTTTTAATGCATGAATTAAACACACAATTTCCAAACCTCAGGTGCTTCATCTTGCAAGCAATCAATGTTTAGAAAACAAAGCAAAGCAAAACAAGCCAACAAGCAAACAAAAACCTATTAGCACAACTTGTACAAAACAGATGCTGGGAACACCCTCTTGTTTCTCTTACAGAAACTGTGGCAGAGAAAAAGGGAAGGATGTTATCAAATAATTTTGAGTCTAATAAAAGCTTACTAACCTTAAGTTATTAACATAACCAAAATGTGTAGATAATGATTTCTAGCATCAGAAAGACAGAGATAAATTGCAGTGGCATTTCAAAGGAGGCAGGGATGCTTCTCTCTGGAAAGGGTCATAAAAACTTCTTCCGTCACCGACCCCATGATCAGCCCTGAACGTGGGTAAGACAGGAGGCCCACGCTGATCCTCTTATCCTTAGCCAGGGTACCTGGCATTGGATTGTTCAAAGTTTTGTGAATTTGATTAATTGATCAACTGGGATTATCAAAAACAATTTTTAATAATTTTTCGTGTGCTATTGTTTTCTGTGTTACAATAACTATAGCTAATTTAAGATATATATATACACATATATGTACACCATAAATATGCATGTGTGTATATGCACATATGTATCATATATATAATATATATGACAGTCTTGCCGTTTCTCAGAGTTTTCATTCTGAGAATTAGCTTTTCAAAAATTTATTTGTCATCATAATGGAAGACAGAGACGTCAGGAATTATGGGGCATTTAACAACTTTTTATTGACTCCAAAATATACAGCAGTATTTTCTTTCCTTTTTCTTTCATTTTTGAAGATACCATTTACATAAACCATTTCCTAGATATGTACCACCATTTTCAAGAAGAGTTATCTCTTCAGAAATTTCAGTAGAGCAAGCCAGCTAGTATTCTAACTACTCTCCCCGATTCGTAGTCAGATCTACCATGTGCAGGAACTCTTTAAATTTAAAAAAAAAAAAAAAAAAAAGGAGACTCTACAATGGTAGAAAATAGTAAGAAGTTTTTTCTCTGTATTTGTCTCAGCAACAGGCACCATCAGCTGTGCAGGGGGAATTTCTTCACTTTATTCTGTGATCAGCCTGGTGCCACGGAGTCTGACACATCTCCTCTTTTGCTTTTACGTTTACATAGATACACAGTGACTTCAGATTTATGCTCAAGCAGCCAGAAACTGATAGTTTTCTTTTCTTTCTTGGCCACAAGTATATAGACATTTTCACTTTTTGCAGAATGCCTGGATAAGCATTTTGACGGCCATAATATCAGATTGTTTTAATGCTGTTTTCTAAATAAAAAAAAAAAGAAAAAGAAAATGAAAAAGAAAAGAAAGATTTACCCCCACAGTTCAAGGTCTTTATTAGACTGTAACCAAATTCTCAGCATCTCCAGTGAGCTAAGTGTATAATTGTTATTCATTGCTCTTTTAGAATTTTTTAAACCTATGATTTTAAAAAAAACAAAAACTAGAACCTCTTCTCTGGGGATTTCAAATATATGCTGATTATACTTCATGTCAAGGTAACTGTCACAGGAAAAAATTTTGCATATCATTTGTTACCCTGTTTAACCTTCAATAAGAAAATGTAATAGGTGGAAAAAAGGGGAAAGTCCCTTTAACACATGAGAGTCTACTTAGCTTTCGTTATTTAAAACAATCATGTTATACCTTTTGGCTACCGCATGTAGAGGCTCAGTGAGAAAATTTCTAATGTTGTTAAATAAATTGTATTATAAATAAATCTGGATAAAAGAATGCAGATTGAAAGTAAATAAAATTTAAGATTTCACTTGCTTCATAGTGACCCTGTAGGTATGAAGTAATGTCCCATATACCTAAACATTAAGAATGCATTTTGAAGTAATTGTGTCAACTTTAAAAGCAGCATATACTGAGAATGTAGGTCTTCACATAATACGTCTCTTCACTTAGAAAATACGAGGCCCGAGGGAAAGGTCCCACACGTAGAACTTTGCCCACCACACTTTACAGCCTTGCTTCTGCTCCTCTTTCTCTATGTTTAAATTGAATTGAGGAGCCACAGCGTAAGTCGCACCTCATGGAAAGCAGTCTCCTACTCCTAGCCCATCACCGCCTGCCCCTAATGCCACTCCCAGGAGAAAGCAATTCTCCATTCAGCTTCCTCTGGCACTCTCTATTTCTGAATATTCATTTCACACTGATATTACTGGTTTGCCAATTTTAGATATTAGCTGTGATTTCCTATTGTGAAGTATCAGAATTTAACTTTTACTTAACCCAATTCAGTCACACCCTTCATCTTTTTCTAATATTGTTAAAAATAAATATGCATTGCTTACATCTTACCTCTATAGACATTGTTTACAAAAAAGAAATATTGGACCATTTCTTTTTTCATTTTTGAGCAACTAATAATGTTTCTTGCCTACCATCTCACTCCTGATGACTTGCATCCTTTGAATGAGAACCCAAACTAGCATCAAATGTTATACCCAGATATTCTTATCATACTCATTGGACACCCTGTGCTCTAAGCAAAGCCGACTCTTACCAATAGGCACAAAGTCCCATAAATGTCACTACTCAGGAAAATGATTCACAGCTTTGAAATAAGGGTGAAAATGATTGCATGAACTTTTGTATCATGCTGGAGAGCTGTTGACCATTCAACCCTCTGTGGACATGTAAATTTGTCTAATAATTGATCAGGGCTGAGAAATTTTACAGACCTACAAAGTTAAAATTAATTTTGTGGGAAATTCATTAGAAAACTAAATAGATGCAATGATTTTTTTATTTCCTTTTTCCTCTTACTAAATAATTCCATTTAGTATACAGGCATACAAAAAATTAATAAATAAACCTCTCCTGACCCCACTTCAGCTTCTATGATTCCATTTCCCTGCTCTTTTTTTCAAAGACATTCCCAAAATAAGTTCATGCCCTTGCTGTCTCCACATCCTCTTTCCATTCACTCTTGAACCTACTCAGATGAGCTTTGCCCCATTTCCTGAAAATTGCTCTTAACAAGGTTACTAAATCCAGTGATAATTTTTATCTTCCTAATACGTGAGTTAGTGACAACATTTGCCACAGTTGATCACTTGCCCCTCATTAAAAACACTTTACTTTGTTTTAAAACCCCACAGAACACTGGCTTTCCTTGGACCTCGCTAGTGACTCCTTCCGCTCTCTCACTGGTTTCCTTTGTCTCCTCACCTACAAAAGGCTGGAGTAATGCGGGGATCAGCCCCTGGACCAGCCCACTATCCTACCCATGCCTACACCCTTCCTGACCTGGATTGCATGCAAGGCTTAAATATCATCTCCTTGCCAATAACACCATATTTTGCATTCAGCCTGGACTTCTTTCTTGGATCCTAACTTGAATATTGGACCATCCACCCTACATGACTACTTGGATGACTAATAGATATTTACCATAACTATGCTTCAAATGAAACTTCTGATTTTACACAACCTCCATGACCTCCACTCTGGTCCCTAAATGCCTCTTGCAGGAAATTGTTCACATTTGCCAATGGGAACTTCATCCTCTTCCCCAAGCCAAAAAACTTGACTTCTCCCTTCACTCTTTTCTTTATCCCATATGCAGGTTGCAAGTCGTGGCAGGTTTACCCTCAGATATGTCCCCAGTCTAGGCTCCTTTCACCACAGTTGCATCCAAGGCACAAACAATTCTTCCCTTCAGGTCACACATAATCCTACTCACCCATCACATTCCTTCTGTCCTTGCCCTTACATTCCATTCTCAACAGGGCAGCCAGCATGATCCTGTTGACACACAAGTCTCTGCTCAAAGCCCTGCCAAGATTTCCCACCTCCACTGTAGTCAAGGGCAGGCCCTACACTGGCTTGGGCTGATTGCCCTCTGCCTATCTGTAGCCCTTCTGAATGTTGTTCTGCCTCAGCCTCTGGCGCCTTTGCCATTCCTCCAAACTGCCAGCTGCAACACTTCCCAAACTACCACCCAGCCGTTGTCTTGTTGGTACACTAAAACAATGCCTGATGGAGGAGCTCTGTAAAATGTGTTAAAGGCAAAAACTAAAGTATGAATGAATAAATGTCCCTAGTTTTCTAACCATCGATCTCTAATTTTTTCGAACTCTTCCGTATAAATGCAAAACATCTCTTAATAAGGTCAAACACATTATGCAATCTATCAAATTCATTTTTCCCTCTCAGGAAAGAATGAAGATAAATACAAATGTAAAAACTCGCAAATTATTCCAGAAGTCCCTTTTCTTTTTCACTATTCCAACTTTAACAGATGCCATCATTTCATAGAAAAGATATAAAAACAGGTGATCTATGTCAAATATAAACAACGTTCCTAAAGGTTTCCTTTCAATCTCTATAATTCTGTCAGACAGAGTTCTCAGCCTTTGGGTACTTTCCCTTACACAAATCACATCTTACTCCTCAATCACCCTACGTGCCATATTAGGAATAAACTGATTCGAAGAACTAATGGAAAGCATATAATCTTCCATTTTACATCACATTACAGTTTCTGGGTTTTTTGTTTTTTGTCTCGTTTTGCATTGGTTTGCACATTACATTTAGAATCTATTTTATATCCTTTACAGTGTCCTTAAAGCTCCCGAATCTTGACAATTTACTCACACTCTTTGGACCTCAATTTTATATCTGTAAAATGACAGGTTTGGACTATTGTAGTCTAAATTTGCTTCCAGGAGTAGAAATCTTTGATTCTGTAGCATTCAATTTTAACAACTCTGTGAGTTAACCCAACAGGTTTTGCTAGTATCTACTTAAAAAATAATGCATCTGAGTTTGAATATTAATGGTTACAAGGCTTTTTGAAAGGGCTATATTTAGAAACCAGGTCTTATAGGTAACTAATTCTATTTAAAAACAAAAATAAACAAATAAACAACCAACATTAAGGGCAACTTTTTAACATTTAAATATTTGAATTATTTTCTTACAATAAGCAGGCTACTATGTTTAAATGTAGGAAATAATGCATAACACAAAATTATGAAAAGATTACTTAGAATTGGATCAATATACAAAAATCACAAGTGATCAACCATTGGATTGACACATTACTAGTTGCTCAAACTAAAAGACTAAAACCAAACAAGGTCTGCATACATAAAGATGCAGAAGGAAGGCGACGGAATAGGTACAACTGATAGAAAAATCAATATTTATCTAGAACAGAAGTTTAAACTTCCAGAAGCCAAAATCATCACCAGGAATTACACGGTTGTGCATGATGATGTCGGAATGAGCAAATGACCTTTTAGACCTAGAAGTCTCTTCCTTTAAACCCATACATAAGAGAAAATATATATCAAATCTGGGGCAGTTATTTCTTCATGTAGGCTAGCGGCATAGATATCTGTTAGGGAACCCTTTATTAGGGCTAGTTTTAAGTTGTCAATATGTAATCACACAGCACGATAATTGTTCAGGGTATAATAATCATGCACAGGTCTGTCACAGTGTGCTCAGCTAGGAACAGATTTCTTTCCATTTATCACCAGCAGCCTCCCTACCAATGGAGCATGGTCCACATCAGTTTCTGAGCTTAGAATTGAATGCCTGGAATGAGAGTTTGTCTACAGACCTCTCTGGAGATCATGCTAATAGGCTCCTGCCCAATTACAGGGCCTGTCCTATTCGAGTTCTTTGCTGGCAGGAAACATGAAGAAACTTGGCTAACAAGGAACAATGGAATGTGTTGGAAGTACATGGCGTACCTCAAATAAATGAGAAAATGCCAAAGCCAGCCTCAGAAAGGAAGGGAGCTGGGACAGCTCTGAAGATTGCTGGTTTAGGGACTTGGAATAATCACTTTTTTCAGAATGCTGCTGTTCACTCTAATTTTCAGAAATTAAGCTACTTCTTTCAGAATTCAAGTCATGTGCCCAGGTATGGTTTGAAGAGGGTAAGGCACCTGCTTCAAAGCCCAGCCAAGATTAGAAGGTTCAGGGTAAGAGAAGCAATTCTCCTAGGAAAAATCAAGTTTGATGCCAAAAAACGATCATTTATCATACAGAATGAATAGTTGAAAGAGAACTTTTCTTACCGATACACCCACTGTATGCTGGTATTATTGTCCTACAGGAAACTTCTGCTGGTATTTCTAATACTGCTCTGGATAGATGTGAATAATCTTGACACAAAACTCTCTATAACAATAACAAATACTTCTTGACAAAATAAAGGCTATCTTCAATACAATAAGTAGTTAATAGAACATTTTTCTTGTAAATTAGTAGTCAGCATGATGATACTGATCCAAAATTATCCAAGGAGTTATTATGACACCAAAAGTATGTGTGATAAAGTAATGATTATATCAATATTGCTTTACATTTAGACAGCATGAACTTCAGGAAGGAAGTTCATAGTAAGTGCCAAACCTTATTATATTTAATAGAAAAAGGAAAATATTGTGCAGCCATTAAAATATTGAACAACATAACATAATAATTGTAGGGCTATGATTGTTGGTATGGGAATATTACCATAATATTTTATTAAGGCAGACACTTAGCTTAGAAATGTGTATTTTTTTGGCATGCCTTGGATATGTAATTTTATTTTTTCTGTTACAATGGACTGTTTTGGTGAAAAGAATGCATATAATTATAAATGCTTAGGACAAATTCTTCTTGGATAAATTAGAGTTTACGTATTTAAAGGACTGAAGTCACCCAGTCAGGTTACAAGAAAGACAAGAATGTGTCTGTATAGGTATAGATGTGTATGTTCATTTATTAAGTTCCTGTTGTATGCACAACATTCTGGTAGGCTCTGAGTTTTTAATTCCCTTGAACATCTGTGATGGGAATACTAATGCCTGAGGTTCCACCTACATGGCCCAGTGAAAGCAGGGCTTTCAGAGGAGAAAAGACCAAATCCAATGGGTATGTATACTTATAATAAACTTCAGGGTAGATGTCACCTTTCAGGGTTATTCAATAGGATTTCGTTGTCCCAGTGGGAAATTCTATTTTATACCCTGTTATTTCACAGACAATAATCCTGTTGAGATCAATGTACTACCAGCACAGGAAATTACAGATAGGAACTTGAATTATAAGTTCACCCCATGACAAAAATGAATTGCTTTCATTTTTTTATGTAGTCTGTTTCTAGACACTACATCCAATTGTTGCTGAAATGGCCGTGAGAGTTGTAATGGTAATATATTGAAACTTGAATGTGTCTCTAGTTTATGTGCTTTGTTTGTATTATCATTTTAATTTCTGTGATTAATTGATTTAATATTTTTAAGCCATAAAAATATATGCTTGGTGTGCTTTGAAAAACAAATATTTAAAATATGCCTCCATTTCTTTTGTCAAAGTGCGTGTAATCTGTTTGATTTTGCCAAGGTGGTGAATAAGCCACTCTGGCCAGACCAGTGTATATCCAAATTAGGAGGACGTAAGTAGTTATGTGACATTAGGGATGTGCTAGTTCTGACAACACACAGAATACAGACACAGAAAGTACATCTTAGTTTGTAATAGAGCCCCAAGGAGCTCTGACAAAATTGACAAAATGAGGCTTTGTTGAAGTAAGGGAAATCATTCAGCTAATGCAAATAAGTTAAATTTAAGTAGGAAGGAATATGCATGTACACATACATATGTAATATTAGACATTCAGAATTTTCATTAATATGCTTTTATTTTAATAAACATTGGATTCTATTTAGAAAGGAGAACCAATCCCATGGGAAATCCTGATCAAGTGCTGGATATTGAGTGGTGAACAGCATACAATGCCCACTTATAAGGTGCTTTATAAAACAGGTAAGCAAACAAGCTGTCATACTTGGTTAGTTTTTCTGAAATCAAATTTTGGGAGGAACAAAACTACACATTTTGTCCTGGAGAAGACAAGGAAGGCTTTCTAGGGCCACAATATGTAAGGACCAGAAATGCAGGTATAGTGGGGTTGGGGGGTAGATGGCGTTGGGTGTCACTGGGAAGAAAGGCCAAATGTCTAATTCCACATTCTCTCTGCTCTTGGCACCCAAGGTCCTTCTTATCTTCTGTCTTCTAAATAGTTTTTCCTACAACTTGCCTCAACATCTCTTTTTTCTTCACACTGTAAGGTTGTTGTAACACCAATAGCAGTCTCACTTCCAAAATTACAGTTTTATGCATTTGATTATTTGAATACTTCCTCCTTTTTTCTTACCTTCAAATTCAGTAAAATCTACACTCTTTTGGCCATCGTGTTAGTTTTCTATTGCTGTGTAACAAGATATCACAAACATAATGTCTTAAAACTACACCTATCATTGAGTTCCTAGACCATAGATCAGAAATCCAGGCAGGCTCAACTCTCTTCTCTGTTTACCATCTCACAAGGCAGAAATCAATGTGCGAGTCAGGATGAGCTCTCTCAGGAGACTCAGGGAACAATACATTCCCAAACTCATGTAGATTTTTGGAAGAACTCAGCTCCTAGTTGGTGTAGGCCTAAGGTCCTCCTTTCCTCCTGACTGTTAGATAGCGGCCAATCTCAGCTCCTGGAGGCTGTGCACATTCCTCATAACATGTTTTTCCAAGCCTATTATGGTGCATGAAATCCTTCTCGTCCTTGGAATCTCTCAAACTTCTACATCCTCAGAGAAAACTCTGCTTTTAAAGGACTCATGAAGTTAACTTAAGCCCACCTGGACAATCTTTCTATCTTAAAAGTCAATGGCTCACCAACCTTAATTACATCTTCAAAATCTTTTTTGTCATTTAACACAACCATAGCACCAGAGTAACTCAAGGAGACCATCTTGAGAATCTACCTACCACATTCAAGTGAATTTTTCCATGTTCATATTCCATTTTTAATCCTCATTTCCTCTCCTCCCAACTTAGGTTTTTCATCATCAATATACTCAGTACAACCATTTCCTTACAAATACTTTCCGTTATCTTGCTTCTCTCTTGTGTGCATACTAGCCTGGCAAAACTGTAACTCAAATAATTGTATACCTCAGTCTACTTTACCCCCATACTGGATCAACTGAATGTGAATGTATTTTTTTAAATGCAAGCATAATGAATGGACTCATCTTTATTTTTTAATCACACGTATCAACTAAGTCCTCAGTACTGTCCAGCAATCCCTTTACATTTCTTTAGTAAGTTTGCTTTTCCCCTTTTTGAGTACATGATTTCAAAACTTCCTCTTTCTCCATATGCATTTAGTCTTTTCCCTTTGTCATGTTTTTCCAAAGAACTGCCTTTTTACATCATTAAGAAATAAAGCAATATAATGAAAACTTTGATCTGCCTTATCTGACCACCATAAATCTACTGATCTCTATACTCTTTGCCATAACCTCTTGCCTACTCAAAGATTTTGCTCTAGCAATTCATTCTTTTCTGATGATAACTGCATCATCAGTTTCTGCCTCACATCTACGTACAGACATCATCTCATCTTAAATTCAAAACAGGCCTTCTATTTCTTCCATTGCTGCCTGCTGTCTCTGCTCCCCTCAACAACAAATCTTCTTGCTAAAGCCACCCACACTCTTCCCCCACATTCTTTCTTGAACACACTCCAATCAAACACCCCAGTGCTCCATCAAACCTGCTTCTTTTCAGTGTTCACAGGACTTTCACTTTACCACGTCCAACAGCCAATCTTCGATTTCCATCTTGTTCTGACTCCATGTTGCTACAGTAGAAATTGTTTTCCACTCGTACTTCGTGACTCTTGACAATCTCCGTGGGACCATCCTATCCATCTAGGGAATCCCATTCTTCAGGAGGCTTAGTCCTGAGACCTCTCTTTGTTATTGTCAGTCTTTCTTTTGGTGATTTCATCTCTTTCCTTCTATACACTGATGAAACTGTCAACCAAAGATAATTTTAAGTGGCCCCCGGTACCAGCCATCTGAATAGACCCCTCCTCTCTGCCAAAAGCATTCCAAAGTTAACCTGAAAAACTAGTTCAGGGAAGAGGGGAGTCAGACATGCCTTATTATCCTCTCCTCCCTTTTGGAACTCAGGAAAAGCTGACCAGCATTTAACATCAACACAAACCTTAAGTCTGTTAAGAAATATTTACAGTCTATTCTATAAAGCCTATACTTGGAGGCTTCGTTTGCATGATAAAACCTGAGTATCCACAACCCTTTATTGTAACCCAGAAATTCCTTTGTACTGATAATAGTTCTTTAAACCAACTGTCAATCAGAAAATGTTTAAATCTACCTAGGACCTGGAACTTCTGCTTCAAGTTCTACCACCATTCCAGATCAAAACAATGCAAACCTCACATGTATTGTTTGATATATTTTGTCTCCCTAAAATGTATAAAAGCAAACTATACCCTGACCACCTTGGGTAAATGTCATCAGGACTTCCTGAGGCTGTCACAGGTATGTCCTTATCCTTGGCAAAATAGCCTTCTAAATTGATTGAGACCTGTCTCAGATACTTTTGGGTTCACAGTACCAAATATACATATTTTAATTCTCAGTTTTCTAAATGTCCAATATAAAAAATCCATGTGTGTGGATAGCCATACATGACCTATAGGCAGATACAGATATAGATACACTGTATCTCCACCTGGATATTGTGTAAACTCCACACACTGGGCTCAACCAAGACAGCTGAATCTTCTCCCAATTCCTGCCACACCCACAGCCTACTCCTCCCCATTCTTCCTTGTTTCTGTGCATATCACTCAGTTGCTAAAGACAAACACCTAAAATCACTTTGGTTCCTCTTCTTCCCTTTCCACCCTTCTCCTGGCTAGACCCTTCATGCACATATAAGCAATTCATCAATATGTCTTGGCTCAATTGCCAAAAACTTATCCCTGTTGCAGTGGCAGTGATTCATCCCTCCCTATCTTCTCCACATTGCCCTTCCTCTCAAAGTCACTGTGAATGTTCACCTGGACCATTGCAAAGGCTTTCTCACCCTTCACTCTCTTCTCACTCTTGTCCCCACCCTCCAGCTCCCAGTCGATGTGCACACAGAAGTTAGAGTGACCAGAATCATAACTACCACCTCCAAAAGTCCTGCAGTGGCTCCAACACACCACTTAGAGTAACATCTGGCTTGCTGCAATGGTCCCTGGCCTGCATGAGTGAGTGCTTTTTCTTTCTCCCGAATCTTATCTCCATCACTCTGTCTGCTGCTTACTCTGCTCCAGGTGCACTAGAATGGTCTTTGTCCTCAAACCTCTCAATCTCCTTTCAAGCCCTCTAGAGGATGATCCTTCTGCCTGTAAACTCTTCTTCAGAGATGTGCTTACCTGGCTCCTCCTCCACATTCAGGCCTTTGCTCACATATCAACTTCTCACAGATAAAATATCTGAAAACTCTATCCAAAACAGCTACCCTGGTCCATCTAACTCATTAGCCAGCTTTTTTTTTTTTTCTCTACAGCACGTATAATTACCCCAAATAATTTTATATATTAGTTTCTCTATTTACTGTTTCACACTCCCACTAGAATGTAAGACCCGTAAGAACAGGAAACATCTGTGTTTCTTCACCAGTGCAACCTGAGTACCTGACTTGGTGTGCAACACACAATAAACACTAGTTCACTGCATAACCATACAGAATTAACAAGACATTGTCCCAGATTGTATATGTGAGCTGAACAAAAAGTCAGGAACAAGGAGGAGTGAAGGATGACTTGCTTCCCACTCTAAGTAAAAATTCTTCTTGCAACTTCAGAGCCCATTAACCTCAACTTGGACATCACTAGTGTTGTTCATGAGGAAGTTTTCTTACCAAGGCTTCTAAATTTATTGTTTTGCTAGGACAGATATATTTTTTAATGTTTTGATCCAGATTCCCTAATTTTTCTTATTCCTCTTAAATCTTTCTCCTATAAAACATGAAATAAGTTTACCATGCTCTCTATTACACTATTCAAATATTTCAAACAATATTATTTCCCATCACCAGTTTTTTCTTCCCTAATCTTACATAGCCCAATTTTGTTTATCTATACTCTATCTTTCTACATCTCTTTCTGATGATTTTTTTTATTTTAGAGCTACTGCAGTCTATTAATCACCCAAATTTAAAACCTTGCAGTTATTTTAACTTCTGTTCTCAGAACTGACATAAATATTCTCCAAATTATCTTAATTATACCTCCATTGTGCTTCTCACATTTATCCTGTAGAGTAGTGCTAGAGATTTAATATAAGTTCACTCCACTCTCATTGATGACTCAAGCTCCCTCGACTTCATTTTTTCTTGCTAGATTACTAGCCCATGGACTCTTTTCCACACAGTGATTATTAATGACTGAACAGGCTGAGCCTGCTGTTGTTACTAAATGCACACCATTGAGTTGCGAATACACAGAATGGTTTAAGGGAAATCTTAACATTCTGGCATCATAGGTTTTTTCCAGGTTTCTTGGTGAAGTCAGTCAAACCTTAATTTGAATCGGCCAAAGTGGTTTTGTGTTTGTGGAAGCAGAGATTGAGAAGAATAAAGATCACATTTCCAGACCACTTCCCATGATAAGATCCTAAAACGACATCCTTGTTAAACATTTGATGAGAAAAAAGAAAGTTTTCAAGACTCATAATCTGTGGGTAACAAAAGTGCAATACATCCTTGATTCCTTTTTTTGGAATCAGGCAACCAGCAGAGCTTGTTCAGCCTTGATGTGTTGCACTTTTGGTCAAATGTATAGACTAAAGGATAAACCCACAGAGGCAGGAGAATTTAGTGATATTTGATAAAAAAAAAAAAAAAGTAGCTTTGTTGGTGCTTTTCTCTCTGAACAGCAGGGTTACTGAAAATAACAGGCTCCAGTGTGTTTCTTTCTAAGAGGCACCAAAAATAGTTCTTTTGTCATCAGTCTTAATAGAGTTACACAGTCAGTTCCATAGAAATTAAAAGCAATACTGGAGCTCATCTGGATTATGTGTGGTCTTTTTACTGCTGATCATACGTAACGCACAAGATGGGGTGAGGGGGGAATTTAGAATAATCAATTTCTCAGCAAAGAAAAAAGAAACAGCACAGAAAAACAAAGAATTTGGAATAAAATACAAGGAAACTGGACTCTTCCCACTCCTTCCCTTCTAAACATAGTGAGTATCACATTCTTCCTTCCTGCTGTGGTTTTGCTTCTCACGGGCCTACAAGTCAGAGATAGATTTAGGAACAACTTAAACAATTTTTTCCCTTAGAAGATCAATAGAATTAGTGAATTTTAAATGTTAATGCATTCCATTCCTGGCAGTGGGAAAGTCATTCCAATTCTTCAATTTATATTTATCCTTGACACAGAGGTACCAAAAGATGAAAAACCCTACATAACATATAATTCATCTTCTATTTAGACTTAAAAATGGAAGTAAAATACAAAAAACAAAATTCATCTGTGATGAAAATCAATTGCCACAACGGCTTAACGTACCCAGAATTTTTTGAGCAAAGTTGTGGCCAGATGATGTCAGCAGGAAGTAAGGCTGTAGAGTTTTTATTCTGACTACATTTTTTATTTTCCTACATTCCCATATATTTCAATATATTGCCTTTGAAAATTTAATAATTAAGGAACAAGGAAATGACCTTGTGGTCACACATGTAATCCCCGCACTTTGGGAGGCTGAGGCGGGTGGATCACCTGAAGTCAGGAGTTCGAGACCAGCCTGGCCAACATGGTGAAATTCCTTTTTTACTAAGAATCAAAAATTAGCCAGGCATGGTGGTACGTGCCTGTAATCCCAGCTACTCGGGAGGCTGAGGCAGGAGAATCGCTTGAAGCAGGGAGGCAGATGTTGCAGTGAGCTGAGATCACGTCACCGCATCACTGCACTCCAGCCTGGATGACAGAGCAAGGCTCAGTCTCAGGAAGAAAGAAAAAAAAAAAAAAAAAAAAAAAAAACAAGGAACAAGAAAGCAAGGACTTGTACAAGTGTTTGTTAGTCTTATAAGAAAGCCTCAGGATGAAGACACCACCTGCACCATCCATACAGGCCCCATCCCCAACCCTCATTTGCTATAGAAAAAGACAGAGACACAGAAGTTTTTGTTGTTTTACCCAGGAAAGTAACACGTAGCCTCTACTCCATTCCCAGGACTAATCACTCTGCATTCATATTATGCTTAAGCACAATTTTAATATTACACTTGGTTATTCCAGATGACTTGGGCCTCTTCACACTAGAATGGCCAGTCCCACAGAGCAAGCATCCCAAAAGAGCGAGACAGAGAGTGAGCGAGAGAGAAAGGCCAAAGGTACCTTTTAGGAACTGGGTTTAGAAGTTGGGCAGCATCACTTCAACCTTATTCTTTTCTTCCCAAAGGCCAGCCCACATTCGGGGGACAGGGAGTTAGACTCTGCCTCCCACTGGAAAGACGGTCAAGGCATTTGTAGACATGTTTTAAAGCCACCACTGCAGAGATGAAGAGTTGACTGAAAATGGGGGAAGACATTGGAAAATGGAGCAGAATCTAACACACAAACATCACTACGTGGACGCTTCAGTGTATTTCAGATCACCAAATGTTGATTCCTGAAGTTTCTTGAGTGATGGAGTCATAACCATTTAAGACTTGGTAGGGTGATGATTTTCCATTCATTTGTAAACTGTACAACTCGGCTATATCTTAGTCAAAAGAACTGACCCAGGCAGCTGTTTAGAAAGTGCAGCCAGGAGCTGCAGATGGTGGCCGTGCCTCTCGGCAGGAGTGAGCACAGCAGGCATCTAAGCCCTGAGAAGGACACAAATAGAGATTCCCTTGGTCAGCCAGAAATCAGGCCCATGGAGAATCTGGAACCACTCATGTATCATTTTAAATATGTAAAGAACTTTCCAAATTTGGATCCATTACAACAAATCTGATGGAGGTACTGTATAGTTTTCAAATATGGAAATCCAAAACTACAAACACCAACCACTACTGTGAAATGTTCTGCCAGACTTCAAGAAGACAAAGTACAAACTCAATCTTTATTAAGAAGAAAGTACCTTAATTGCTCATCTGTCTTTAACCACTGACCACCTCTCTTTGCCTCTCTGTTGGTATCTTTGACTTGGGGAAATTTCATCCCATTCCATGTTAATTTAAATTTTCTGATAGCACTCCTGGCAGCTTAATCCATGTAAATATAAATATAATATCTTCTACTGACTTTTGCCAGCAATTTATGTTATTTTTGAATGAACAAATTGGAATCCACTGTTGGAATTTTATCAAAATGACAACAATTTTGCTTATGACAACTAAAAATCATTTTGGAACATCTGACATCCATAGAAACCTATATAGAAGTAAAATTAAAATAACACTGGAAGTGAAAAACAGATGTTAAAAATAATTATTGAAGGTCTATAGAGAGGGGAGACTCTAATATAAAAATTATTATTGACCAATCTTGCAAGATGAGTTTAGCAGGTGTTTTGGTAACTCATCTTAGATTTTTTTATTCAAACTTCAGTAAATGCAACCAACTGCCCAATGCTGGCAAACATAATGAAAGTGTAAAAATGGAACAGAAGGAAAGTGTTTAAAAATATCCTGTATATCATTCAAAAATGATGCCATTAACATTGGTACCCACTAAACACTTTCAAACTATAGTTCAGATCCTGGTACAAGGCTAATTTTTCCCAGATCTCTTAATGAAACATACACAACAACAGGAAGTCTCTTGCTCAGAGTGCAAATACAGATGTATTCTTGTGCCGTGGTTTCTAAGGACTGGAGGTTTCCCTCTAGCCTGCTCTTTATTTATTTTGGAAACATTAACAGAAACACAAGTGGATATGTAAGAAAGGAGGTTCCAATTAATAGTACTCATGGTTTACAGGGTAACCGCTTTATAGTTTTTACTGAACTGTCTACAACTTTAGCACTTAAGAAAACCAACAAATTCAAATCAATTTCATGCCACTGTGTACATACATTCTCTTATTCAAGAAGTATGTATGAGTGCCACTCGGTGCCAAACCCAGGTCCAGCCTCCAGGGAGCTCACAGTCTAGTAATGGAGATAAGAAAATTGGAGATTTGGTAGTATATGATGATAGTTGTGATAAAATATTCATAACCTCAGTGAGTCAAAACAGATTTCACAGGGAACTTAATGTCTAACATTAAGTGGAGAGGATCACCCCAGACAGGTACAGCCTGCTCGGAGAACTGCCAGGACCTCCAGTGGGGTGAGCACGGAGCTCAGGGGTCAGGGCCAGGAGGTGACTGGAAGCATCTCACATTTTGTTGTGTAAGGACTGAGCATCCTCCGTGCAGACAGGGGTGTGGAGTCAGAGTCCTGTTGCCTGTTTACATCAGCGTTTATCCTTTGCTCCATCTCGTGGCATGACAGAACTTTTAACAACTGAAAACTGCACTGCCTTGCCACATGTATGTTTATTTGCACAATGGCTGTGAGAGCAAGCTGGATCTACCATGCAATGGCTGTGCTCTATCTCCTCTGTGTGGGAAATGCAGGGTTCTGAAATGAAAAAGTCAGGCCGGATTCTCAGGCTTTCTTTGCCACCTGCTTAAGAAAGTGCCCGTTTTACTGAACGCACAACACAAAAGTTTCCATCTTCTTCCTCATATGGAAATTTTATGTGAAATTTTCCCTTTTTTTTTTTTTTTTTGTTCCTTCACTTCCAGAATCACAGGCTGCCTGACAGGATTAGCACGTTCCAGGTTCCAACTAAAGCCGTCTTTTGATTGCAATTGTGGTGATTGAGTCTAGGAGGAAAACACAAATGAATTCTCAGCCCTGGGATTGAGTGACATTTAATAAAAAATACTATTTGTTTAACCTGATTGTTATGTTTTTTGAATTATAAAATGCTGAGCATTATGATGGCTGCCAGGTTATGTTATCTACTACTTGATTTTAAGTGCTATCTGTGGGATTTACATGTAAACTGTAAATTGATGTTTTCTTTTTCTTACCTATACAACAGAAAATAAAGGGTTTCAGAATTTTTATATCACTGGATATTCTGGCAATGAAATATTAAATGGCTTTAGGAGAAATGTGTTTTTTACAGGGGAAAACAGGACACATTATAAACCTCTCCATCACTCTAATCAGGCTTCTGACAAGAAAATAATAGGGCTGCGCAGGAACACGTCTGTTCCCATCCCAAGCACGGGGCTCTAGGTAAAGACATAGCACAGACGGTTAGTTAGCGGAAAGTGGAGAGGTGCCTTTTGGAGAGATGTTTGTTTGAATATTTGTATTTGCTTTGCAAGGCTAAGCAGCACCCTTTGGTTAATTTTGAGGGTGTTTTGGCATCTGTCACCTGAAGTGTGTGACTCACCCAGATTCTGACTCAATAGATGGAAAAAGACTAACCTGCTCACAAGATATTCATTTCATGGGTGAGGAGTTCTGTGAATTACCATTTTACTCTACTCTCTAATGCTCTGAACATATTTCACAAAGAGATCCATTTTGGCTTTCATTTTCATTTTCTCTTAGTTTTCTCTTATTTTCCAGGACATCTGACTCTACCTCCTTAAAAGTGAAGTGACTGTGAAAATTGATTGTACCTTCTTATGTGACACTAATTTTGACCATCCCTTATGGTTGAGAATCTCATGCAATGCTTTGGATGTTCCATCAACAACATGCCAAGTCCATGAGGTTTCATAGGCCGTGCTCTTGGGGAGTCATCACAGCTCTGGGTTGTCCTACCATCAACACCACCTGGCACCCACCTTGCCACCAGGGTTCAAACTCAGTTCATTGAGAAAACTGTCTCAACCCCAAGAGTCAAAGTTTAGGTCAATACTGAAACAATCACTCATGTTCTTGTTGGTGAAATCTGTAGAAATGGTAACTCAGGAGTGAAATCAACCACAGCAACTCTCCATTCATGGTGAGGTGTGGGGTATACAGTAGAGAAAATCAAGGTGTTTGAGATGAGTCAGGCTTTGGGGTGACTGATGCTCACTCAGCTAAGCATCCGGACTGTCTGGGTTGCCCTTCATGTCCACTCCCCCTCGTACTGTGTGTTTTAGCTATCTCTGGACTTTTGCATGCTGACTTTCCTCCAGCAGATTGTCAACCTTTACTACTTGCTACACTCAGGGTCTATTCTCCTAACTTCCTCCACTTTTCCTTCTGTTTCTATACTGATGTAGCTTAAGAAACAAAATAATCAGCTGGACTTGAGAGGCTGATGTTCTCATAAAATAAGGCGGGAAGCTTGAAGCCAGGTCTTTGTGGTGTAACAGAGGCTGGCTACCTCCCAGATGAATGAGCTTCAGGGGGAAATTAAAGTACTGCTGTCAGCAGCTTTTATTTACTAATTCCTGTTGTGAACTATGTACAAATGTGGACCTAAAATACGAGATAAGGGGCTCCTCACTAATAGAGTAAATAGGGAAAACGAAAGGGAAAGTCACAGCCAGCTAGTAGAGAAATAAGCTGTAGCATCTTGCTTAACGCATGTATATAGGTTTTCAAACAGGTTTAATCGATTTCAATTTTGAAACTTGAAAAGTATTATGGCAGTATCTCATGTAATATTATTTTACAGTTGATTGGACTGACAAGATGTATAATTTTTCTATTTTTTTATAGTATTTATTATAATGTAATTGTTATTGTATTTTAAATTAGTATTTAATATAATGATAACATTTGTTTATAAAGTCTATAACTTTTAAGAATGAGACACAATCAATCTCTTAATGGCACCAAATAATCATTTCCACATAGTCAATGTTATTTGAACAAATGAATAAACAAACTCTGGAAAATCATCACAAAAGCAGTCTCCACCATCTCATCAGCACTGGGAAGCTCTGCGAAGCTGCCTGGGGCGCTAGCAGGCAGACACAATGCCGTCGTAAAAGCCTCCCTGTTTTTGCAAGGGATAGGTTTTACAACCAATAATTAAACGATTAGGACATTCCATCTCTTGTCACCATGAGGTGGGACCCTGCTGTTCTAGATTTTCCATAACACTGAGTCATCGACAAAATTCAAGATTCAGAATCTTCTCTACGAATCTTGACGTATTAAAGCATTTACTTGTAAACTAATGGCAAATGCTTATATTAAATTTAAATAAAATATTAGAGCAGTTAATCGCGTCTTTTTTTCCATTCTACTCACCTGAGACATGGGGCAGCTTGAGAAGTTTCTGGAAATGAGGTTAGGTTAGGCACAGATTCTCAGAAATGATCTATGCAAAAGACTTTGGAATTATAGTGTCATTTTTTTCAATCCTATCAAATTTACTACTGAATATATTAAAGTGTGGAAAGTTGAGAGATATCAAATGTCACTGAATAAAAATGAGATCAGATTTATAATTTGGAAGATTGTGTCATCATTTGGTGTCTGAATTTTTTTGTTGTTGTAATTTCTGCCCTCTCCCATCTAGACTACTTAACATTCTTTTGCCCATTATAAGTTATCATAGCCCATAAATTTGACAACTTCATTAAAATCCAAACGAGGACACTAATATTTGGCCCATTTCTTCTGGCTGACATTTTTTGTTCTAGAAATTATCTCTCTTTACCTGTGAATACCCAGTTTACTCTCTACTATTCCCTAAAGTTAGCTTTCACTCAAATACACATTTACAATTATAAAGTTACTTTATTTCCATTTAGATTGCTCCTGGTCTCCACAGAGATAGCAAAGATTTCAAATGCAACAGGCTATTTAGCAGAAACAGCCATTTTCTTTTATATAAATTGTTATCTTAGTTCAGTTATTTTGTCTTTAAAAATACATTGCTTCAAAAAAATGCAAACTGAACTATGCTTAATTCAATTCTTTCCATTGGCATGTAAATTTTAATTTACAATATAGCACCAGGTCCTTTTAGTGGCTTTGTTTAAATTGTTAGAGAGACTAAGACTATTTTAATAAACAATTTCAGAAATACAAAAATCTAGGGAATAATACGCTCCAGTTTATGACCGTACAAAAATATGTATATTCACCTATCCTGCTAATGGGCATTCTGTTTATTTCCATTGTTTATTATAATTTAAAAATTACTACATCTCTTTATTGACCATTACAAATTCTTCTTCTGTCAATTGCTTATTCTTATCCTTCAATGTTTTTTTTTTTCCTTTTTTGGTCTTTTCTTTTTGATTTATTAGGCAATTTTAAATAGTTTGATTACTACTTCTTTCTGTGTTATATGCACTGTCAATCTGTTCTTCCCTTCAATGGCTGGTTTGTTGTTTTTACCTCAGAACATTCGGTCAAGTGTTTCAGAGGTTAAACTCTATTTGTATATTTATTGCCTTTATGACTTGTACTTTTTCTTTATGGCCTGATTTCGATAATTCTTTTCTCCTTCACAGACCTAAAGAGCTTTTTCTATATTTTCTTCTACAATGTTGAAGTTTTATTTTTTACATTTAATTTCACATTGAGTAAAATTTATTTTTTATCTGTTGTGAACTAGAGATCTGCCTTTTCCATGTGGATATCCAACTTCCCAGGAATATTGAAAGAGAAGCAAATCTTTTTTTTTTTCTTTTTCTCTTTTAGTATACAAAAGGATGTAACAAGATCCCTAGGACAAATCTGATGTTAACTGAATTAAGTGGATTAGTATTAAATTAACTGGCCCGATAATTACAGGAAGGCATTATAAGTCCCTAGGGAGCCCAAGGAGGGTGAAGCCTCATGCCCCTTTGGGTAGTAATACAGGGACTAACTATACTCCTTGCTCCCACAGGACAGAACATTCTCTAGGTTTTTCATTCCCGACTCAGTAGCACTCAAAGCTTTTCTTAAGGTAAATTAAAGTTATGGAGAAAGGCATCACTCTGTAGCCACTGTTTTCCAAGAGTAACATTCCAAGGCAGTATCTAGGGAGCCAGCAAAGATTCTGTCCTGTCTACCATTTTCCCATGAATGACATCATAATAGAACCTCCCGGTCTTATTGCCTTTTCTTATTGGTAACAAAAGATGACAAACTAGGTAATTTATATTAAAAAGTTTATTTAGCTCATAGTTCTAGAGGCTGGAAGTCCACAGTGCCGGCATCTGTGAGGGCCTTCTTGCTGCCTCACCTCATGGCAGAGGGCATCACATGCTCAGAGTGGGAGCAAGGGAGCCAGGGAGAGCTCACAGGCACAAGAATAACGCTGCTGTGATAATAAACCCACTCCTGGGACAGCAACATTCATCCCGTCATGAGAACAGAGCCCTCATTCATCCATTCATCTCATCATAGGGGCAGAAGGATTACATTTCTAACACATGAACTTTTGGGGGACACATTCAATACCTAGCACTCCCAAAATATTCACTAAGAGTGAGAGTAAATTGATTTAATTTCAGACTGTTCTTGGCAGTCCATAAGTAGAGATTTCCAAGTTTTACAATAGAGAATTAAAATGATTGAAAAATATTCTAAAAAAAAAAAAACAACCTGCAGAAGAAAGCTAGAAAATCAGAAGATGAAATATTTTTTAGGCATAAAATATGCATGCAGTTTATAGACAATGGAGATGTGCTAACTCTTGAAAACGTGCTTCGACATCTCAAATTGCTTAAGGCTTTTGCAACAAAATAACTTACCAGTGTCAGGCCATGGTAGAATATGAGTTCACAATGAATTTTTATGCCTGGGTTTCTGTGACCCAAGTTATGCTGAAGAATATGAGAGACACCACCTTTTAAAAATTTTTACATAGCCTGCGGCCACTGCAATTCGTTAATCCCTTTGGAAAATTGCTTAAGCCTGGCATGTTTTGTAATGAACTTTATCTCTTCACTACCAAAAGTCGTAAAAAGGAACTTCAGTGAGGAAAGAAACACAATTGATAATTGAATATTTCAAAGAGATCAGCATTTTAGAAAACTGGGTATGTATTAATATGCTATATCTGACATATGACATGAAAATGACATATATAATATAATTTTGTTTATACTATTATATATTTTATACATTTTGTGTTATAATACATTTTGAATATATGTATATATATACACATACATATATACACACACACAATATATATAGGAAAATAAAATTAAATATTATCAGAATGTTTATTTCTTGATGATGGGAATTTGAGTGGTTCTTTTTTTACTTTATTTCTATTGTTATTCATTTGGTATTTTCCAAATTTTGTTCAGTGATTTTTTATTACTTTTACAATGATAGACATTATGTTTGGAGGCAGAAAAAAGAAGGGAACAGACAAGAAACGTTCATTTGAAAATTCTAAATGCAGAACATACCTGAAGTCAAAGTGTCCCCCGTCACTGAAAAACCAAAGCCACCAATATCAAAGAAGCGTGGGCCCTTCCGCCCCCTACTGTCTATCTTCAGTAACTGTCCAGTGAGTCTCCGCCTTTTGTTAGCAGGAATCTAAGAATCTCCTGGGAAGCTTGCTGTTTGCAAAATTAGGAAATCTTGAGCTACATCCTCAGATAATCTGAGGCTGGATACCCTCAAACTATACTGTGAGAAACATCATCAAAATTAAGTTACATGACGTGATCACAGCTATAGTAATAAAATCAGAAAAAATATGGACATCATATTTAGAAACACAAATTGGCAACGAGATTTCTTTCAGTTTTAAAAAAGTGTATTAGTATATAACATAATATAGTATGTATTAAAATAATATACATTTAAGGGTATATAAATATATGCTTAGTACACATTGTCAGTATTAATATCAATACATTACCTTTTATACATATGTATGTGTGTTTGTTTGTGTATTTATGCACATGCAGCTTTATATTTGCCTATGTAGTTGTATATATGTAGAGTGCATAGTATAGTGTGGATGTGTGCGTATGTGGTATGCATATACCACACACACAGAGTCCTGCACATACACACACAGAGCCATGCATCGTTTAACAATGGGGATACATTCTGAGAAACGCATCCATAGGTGATTTTGTTGTTATGCAAACATCATAGTGTGAACTTTCACAAAACTAGACAGAAGAGCCTACTACACACCTACTGCTGCTAGGCAACAAACATGTACAGCCTGTTATTGTCCTGAATACTGTAGGCAATTGTAACACAATGGTATTTACATATCTAAACATAGAAAAGATACAGTAAAAATATGGTATAAAAGATAAAAATGATGCACCTGTGTAGGACACTCACCATGAATGCAGCTTTCAGGACTGGAAGTTGCTCTGGCTGGGTCAGTGAGCGAGTGGTGAGTGGATGTGAAAGCCTTGGACATTACTGTATGCTACTGCAGACTTTACAAGCACTGTACACTTAGACTACACAAAATGTACAAAAAAATTTCTCTCATCAATAATGAATTAACCTTAGCCCACTATAACTTTTTTTACAGTATAAACTTTTCACTTTGTTTTAACTTTCTGACTCTTGTAATTACACTCCACTGAAAACACAAATCCACTGTATAGCTGAACAAAAATATTGTCTCTTTTTATATCCGTATTCTATAAGCGCTCTTATATTGTTTAATTTTTTAATTTTTAAACTTTTTTGTTAAAAACTAAAACACAAACCACACAATAGCCTACACCTACACGGGGTCAGGATCATTATCACTGTCTTCCACCTACATTTCTTGCCCCATTGGAAGGTCTTCAGGGGCAACGTCACGCATTAAGCTGGCATCTCCTATGATGACAATGCCTTTTTCTGGATAGCTCCTGAAGGAAGTGCCTGAAGCTGTTTCACAACTGACCTTTTAATAATATATTAACATAAAGAGTACAATCTAAAATAACAATAAAAACTATAGCATATTAAACTAGTAACCTAATCATTTATTATCATTGTCAGGTATTATGTGCTATACCTTATTGTATGTGCTGTATTTTTATATGACTGGCAGTGCAGTAAGTCTGTGTACACAAGCATCACCACGAACACAGGACTAATGCATTTTGCTACAGTCTTACAGTGGCGACTGCCTGATGAGTTGGCAGGAGTTTGCCAGCTCCATTATAATCTTGAGGGATCACCATGGTATATGTGGTCCTTCGTTGAACAAAACGTTGTTATGCTGTACACGACTGTATGTACTTTTACAAATAATGCTGCATTTGTCTTTTTAGAAATTATCAAGATCCTAACCTGCGATTAACATCTGCATTTTAACTCTAAAGCTGATAAAAGCTTTTCCTCACTTTGAAGTTATTTGAAGTAGCAGGTTTTTTAAAAGATGACATATATAAGTTCTTAAAAATCATTATTTACTAATTTCAGCATTTCTTCTGAGCTAAGTTTAATATTGTAAAATCTCACAAGCAATTTATTTAAGGTCAGTTAATGACATTGAAGCCAAATTCCTTTTTAAAATACGCTCTCAGTTGCAATTGAACACAGTTACACGTGCCTCTTTGAAGGAAAACGTAGGCACAGTGATAAATGCAGCGTTTCCTTACCCATAACCAAATAGAAATAGCTGCATCAACATTCCGAGCCCAGGACAAATAGGGCTGAAAAGAAAACAAGAAAAAATCATCAGTTTGGCAGCAAATCCACTGTCACTATACTCCCTGGCACTTGCCTTTGGCCTGGAAAGCACTTGTCAATAACGGCTTCTTTGTTTTCTGAGACGTCATCTGTAAATACTGAAATATTGAAACCTAGTCCAGGCTTTGATACCGCATTCTTAAACCTGTTTTGAAAACCTGAGATAATTGCTTTAAAAATGCCTTCATCTATCTGTTATTTGATTTAGAAATACATTGGATTAGGTCTTATAAGTCAAGCAGAAACTTGTCTTTTTTTTTTTTTTTTTTTCTAGACGGAATCTCACTCTCACCAGGCTGGAGTGCAGCGAGCAATCTCGGCTCACTGCAGCCTCTGCCTCCTGGGTTCAAGCAATTCTCCTGCCTCAGCCTCCCGAGTAGCTGGGATTACAGGTGTGAGCCACCACACCCAGCTAATTTTTGTATTTTTAGTAGAGACAAGGTTTCACCATGTTGGTCAGGATTGTCTCGACCTTCTGACTTCGTGATTCACCTACCTCAGCCTCCCAAAGTGCTGGGATTATAGACGTGAGCCACCATGCCAGGCCGAAACTTGCCATTTTTAAACATACACACTTGTCCTTTATGTGATGTTCTCCTGGTGCTGAATCTGTCTGCCATTCCCAGATTGTGGAGTTGGGGGGTGAAGTTCCTGAAGTCATTTCTAGGAGGGACTCAGTATCCTATATTCATCACAATTGATGCTGTAACCACAGCATGAGATGCTGTGAAGAACAAATGAGATAAATAATGTGAAAAGGCTATGAAATGAGTGAAGCCCCATGTAAACAACTGGTACCAAAAGCTTCTCACTGCTACTGAATTGGAAGAATTAAGAAAGAGGTGGATGTCAGCTTTCTTTCCTCCTCTAGTCGATTCACTTTTCCCCAAACGCCTGGTGAAATGTGACTCTCGTGTGTGTATTAACTGCAAGAGTGTCACAAACACTGCCTTCCACTATGCCTCTGTGGAGCAAACTTAACAGTAAAATTTAATCTAAAAATTTGTCTTGTCTTTTTTATGCAGCTTTTTGGATTGGCTCACAGTTTTCCTACTTTTCTGTCCTGTCAGTTGAGAAGAATACATTTCAAGAGATGCTCTTGGAAAACACGTTTGATGGAGAGGTTGATTTTTGTAACCTGTATGCCGTAGTCAGGTACTCTTGGTTCTTGGTATAAATTAGACATATAACGGAAAATTCTATTCTATTACTAGAACTCTCTGGAGCCCCAAAGCAGGGTCCCTGACAGAAACTGCATCTCCAGGGGACCTAACCACTGTTAGAACTTGGGGCCACGGGGTGAGGAAGGCATGAATGCCAACCCTGTGCTAATATCTCCCTCCTCCCACCTACCACATGGGAGCCCAGGCAATACAATCTATAGAAATCAGCTTCCCTGACTGAAAAATTATGTAGGAAAAGGGAAGAATTAATGCAGGTAAATGAAAGAAACCCAGCACACCCCTAATGTCTACTATATAGCTGTTTATAGGCATCCCAAAATCAATCAAGAAGGTGTGCCTGACACTTTGTAGATTTCTTGAAAGATTTCCTTTCTCTGCACATCTCTATCTCCCTCTCTCCCTCTCTCTGAGTCTCATCCTCCTCTTCATTCTTTTCTCTTCTGCCCCTTCCCTCTCCATGCTATCTCTTGCTCTTCTCCCTTCCTTACCCTCTCTGTCTCTCCCCATCTTTACTCATTATGGCTACTTTGCCTGACTACTCTTGAGTTATTTCGACTTGGACTAGAAAAGAAAAAATGAGAGCCAACAAAATGGAACAAAGAATTTGCCCTTTCTCCTGAACATTAGCATGTTTGGTGATTTATGTGTAGCTTTCCTAGGATAATATGAGACTCATGTTTACAGGGAACATGGAAATCTAGGAAACAGAGACAGAAGTCACCTTCCTTCCCCCCCACTCCCTCCAATTGCATCACTGTACTGGACCCATGAATAGACACCAAGGGGGCAGGCGCGGTGGCTTCCGCCAGTAACCTCAGCACTTTGGGAGACTGAGGCAGGCAGATCACCTGAGGTCAGGAGTTAGAGACCACCCTGGCCAACATGCAGAAACCTCTTCTCTACTAAAAATACAAAAATTAGCTGTATGTGGTGGGGCACACCTGTAATCCCAGCTACTTGGGAGGCTGAGGCAGGAGAATCACTTGAACCTGGAAGGCAGAGGTTACAGTGAGCAGAGATCACACCACTGCACTCCAGCCCAGGAGACAGAGTGAGACTCCGTCTCAAAAAAATATAGACAGCAAGAGCCCACTGTGGGTTAGGCTCTGTGCCTGCTGCCAGAGAGTCTCAGGGCCAAACGTTAGTATTCAGTGGCAGAGGTGAATAAGTGACTCGATGGACAAAAGTCATATTATAGCAACTAAACTACTTTACATGCTGGAAAACAACCAGATTTTGCTCATATTACCTTAAGAGATCCAAGTGTTTTTGTGAACAAAATAGCCAAGAACACAGTGCTGCAACATCTCCTTTTTAGCGAATTTACCAAAGGTGTATGCCAGATAAGAATATGTATATAAGGTCACTTTATATTTGGCAGTGGCTATGCAAATAATTGTAGTTTTGATATGAATTGATCACCGTAGCAGTGACCTCTCCTACTCTGTGGCCATGCGTGGATGTGAACTCTGTAAAGAGGGAGAGAACTAAAAGCATCAGGGCTGGCTGCTCGACAGGACTCCTCCACTCCGTTTGTGTTTCCTTTTCTTTCTTGCAGAAGAGCCGTCCTCTGGCAGATATGTGAAAGAACTGCCTATGAGGAGCGAGAGGCTACTTCGCACACCTCGCAGCTCAGGTCCCCGGAGACGGCTTTACAGGCACACAAGCCCCTCTCCCAAGCCATCTGCCAGGAGCCCCATGAGGAACACAGCACAGCGCCTGCATCAGAAGCCCATGGGTTTGCCTATCACATGTCTTGTTTTCTCCTGATCCGTGGCTCACAGGCTCAGTGTGACCCAACCTCCTAGATTTCCCCATCAGTGCTATTTGCAGTGCCCCCAAGCACTTTCCTCCACTCCAGTCCCTGAGCGCATGCCAACGGCCCTATTTTCAGCCACCCCTCTCCATGCCTCTTGTCTGTCTCTAGCTGACAAGCAGATTATCTCTTCTGTCCACTTTGTTTGCCAATGTACTTTGGCACCATTGAATTCCAACACATGAAGTAAACTGAACTGTGTACAACGCTGAGCACACACGTGGTTTGGAGAGCAGCCCCTTGTCAGGATCCAAAATGTTCCCAAGCCTTGTTGATATTTGGGTCACTGCAGATCTCTGAGTCCCCCTTCCTTTTTAATCTTCTTCCCCTCAACTCATTCTCAATTTCTCTCTCTGAAACCACCTGTGAACACACTTATGCATTCAAATAGATGCATACTGTTCATGCTTATATTTTTCTGTAACCGTCATATCTAATAAATACTTATCATCCAGGAAAAAAATGTTGTTGGGCAATAATAACATGCTAAATAATGGCAAGTCCATTATCATATTTTTGTAGCAGTATTTCCTTTACTTGTCACACACACTTGATGGAAAACTTCAAAAAGTTAATTTGAAGCAGTCTTTTCAGAAAACAAAACTGAGTAAAATCATTTACCATCGTTCAAAAGAGCAGTCCCCAATATTAACAGTAGCAGGGACCCATTTTGTCCACGGATGTGGTAGGTGGGGGATGGTTTGGGGATGAAACTGTTCTTCTCAGGCATTAGATCCTCATAAACAGCACCATCTAGATCCCTGGCATGCGCAGTTCACAGTAGGGTTTGCACTACTGTGGGACTCTAATGCCGCAGCTGATCTGACAGGAGGCAGAGCTCAGGCGGTTGTGCCCAATTGCCCACCACTCACCTCCTGCTGTGCATTCCTTACAGACCACGGACCAGTACTAGTCTGTAGCCTGGGGATTGGGGACCCCAGATTTAAAACGCTTTTTTAAAGATTGGCACAAGTATGCCTGTTTTTGCTGTAATTATATTAACTGCATATCTGTACACTATCCCGACTAGCCTGGCTTTTATTTCTGCTTCTTCACTTTGGTGACTTCTGTCTCTGTTTCCTGGATTTCCATGTTCCCTGTAAACATGAGTCTCATATTATCCTAGGGAAGCTACACATAAATCACCAAAGATCCTAATGTTCAGGAGAAAGGGCAAATTCTTTGTTCCATTTTGTTGGCTCTCGTTTTTTCCTTTCTAGTCCAAGTCAAAATAACTCAAGGGTAGTTGGGCAAAGTAGCCATAATGAGTAAACACTTAACAGGGCGTTTCACCCAGCAACTGTCTGCAGATAGCAGTTGCATGAATCATGCAGAACACGTGGATGTCTGTTAGTCTCCAGGGATTACCAGGCTCTGACTCAAGGGTGGAGTTTGGTTACAGAGGCACTTCACATGCCTCAGCAACCTGGGTAATGTCAGTTGATCCTATTATAGGCAGAGGATCAGCAGTATTCAGACCAACACTGTGTTCATTCAGTTCCAGTCCAAAATTACAGTGGCACAGCCAAATAAATCTAGGTGGCACAGAAAAAGCTACTTATAATAGAAGCTACTGGAAGTCCAGCTTAGCTATGGCTCCAGGCTTAAACAGATTCCCCTGTCAATATCCTATTTGTCACTCCAGGACGGTGTGTCAAAGCAACGGGCTAGGTTTCACCCTGCCCCTGCCTTCAGTTTCTTTGATGTTTAAATGCCTCTGTACAGGAATCTGTTTGAGAAACAGATCTATTTTTATTCATAATTACTTCTCCATCTGTCTCGGTATTTTCTATAAACAGAGATTAACGTCCTGCGTGTTAACCTATTTTAATCTGTGAACTATTCAGAGCCAAAATGTCTTTTTAAAGAGTAACAAGATGATATGAACATTCTGTTTCACAAGGCAGAGCTGAGCGTTACTGCAGGTTCTTCAAACCATTCAAAGAAGAATGGCTTTAAAAATAAAGTCTAAGGAGCGTTTCATTCACTACCATGAAACTACATATCAGCTTGATTTTTTTAAGCTAGCAGGAAAAAGCGTTCTCATGAAATGTTTAACGTGGATATTTGTCTTTGTGTGGGTTCTCCCTTTGATGTATTTGGAGGTAATTTAAGAATGAGGGTTTGGGACTGGTAGGGCCTCCATCATTTATTACACAATCTTGAATAAAACCCTGAAGTTCTCATTTCTTTAGGTTCTCCATACATAAAATGGGAACAAAAATGCCCAAGTCTAACTGAAATGTTATTGAAAGGATGATATAAAGTAATGTGAAAAATATATAAAGAATTGCCCAAATATGTGAAATCCTGTTATAACTAAATCTAGAGTCATTAGGTGGAACTCAACCATTACTACATAAATAAATGGACATTAAAGACTCATTGACTTCACTAAATCAACATCTGTTAAACAATTGTATAATATATGCCCTTGTGGATTTTGTGGCAAAGCTGAGGGTCTTTGAAATATAAGAAGTGAATGCTTGCATTGCTCATCTGAAAAATAATTTCTATATCTAGACATGTCCATTTCTAGCTATAAATGATAAAAGTTTGTTTCCTCATTCCACGGCTATATTTTTGTCACATACTGTTTTTTGTTTGTTTGTTTATTGAAACAGAGAATCGCTCTGTTGCCCAGGCTGGAGTGCAGTGCTGCCATCTCGGCTCATTGCAACCTCTGTCTCCCAGGTTCAAGCTAATCTCCTGCCTCAGCCTACCTAGTAGCTAGGATTACAGGCGCCCGCCACCAGGCCCAGCTAATTCTCCTGCCTCAGCCTCCCAGGTAGCTGGGATTGCAGGTGTGTGCCATCACGCCCAGCTAATTTTTTTTTTTAATTTTTAGATATGATGGGGTTTCCCCATGTTGGCCAGGCTGGTCCCAAATTCCTGACCTCAAGTGATCCACCCACCTTGGCCTCCCAAAGTGCTGAGATTATAGGTATGAGCCACCATGCCTGGCCTGTTTTTTAATACAGATAAAAACATACTATGAAATGAACCATTTTAAAGTGTACACTTCAGTGGTTTTCATGTATTCACAAAGTTGCACATTCATCACTACTATATAATTCCCAAATGTATTCACACAACAAAAAGAAATTCCATACTAGCAGTAACTTCTCCTCTTCCCTCAGCCCTGGCAAACACTAATCTAGTTTTTGTCTCTATGGATATACTATTTCTGGACATTTTATATTTTTTATATTAAGATTTCTAGCTTCCTTATCTTCGATAATGTTTTTAAGATTCAGCCACATGTTACCATGTACCAGAACTTCACTTATTGTGTGGCTGGATAATATTTCATTGTAGGGCTATGCAACACTTTATTTACCCATTCACTCTCTCTTAAATGGACATTTGGTTGTTTCCACATTTTGGCTATATTTGTTTTTGGTTTCCACATTCTGACCAAAAAAAAAAAAAAATGCTGCTATGAACTTTGATGTACAAGTTTTTGTTTGGACATATGTTTTTATTTCTCTAGGGTGTGTATCTAGAAGTGGAATTGCCAGGTCATATAGTAACTAGTTTAATCATTTAACTGTCAGACTGATTTCTGCAGTAGCTGCACCATTTTGCATTGTAACTAACAATTAGGAGGGTTCCAATTTCTTCACCTCATCTCAAATACTTGTTATTGCAAGTCTTTTTTATTATAGCTGCCCTAGTGGGTATGAAGTGGTATCTTATTGAGATTTTGACAACGACTAATGACGTTGAACATCTTTTCCTATTTCATGTTTGATAGCCATTCACATTATCTTCCTTAGATAAATGTCTATTAAAATTATTTATTTTTATCATTTGTGTATTTCTTGTGAGCTTATAAATATTCTTTATACGTCTTGAATGCAAGTCCCTTATCACATATATGATATCCAAATGTTTTCTCATATTCTATGAATTGTATTTTCACTCTTAATAGTGTCATTTGATGCACAGACATTTTAATTTTTATGACGTTTAATTTATCTATTTTTCCTTTTCTTGCTTGTGCTTTAGGCATTACATTATTTTTTAAAAGTGCCTATTCCAAGGCCAGAAATATTTATATCTCTTTTTTTGTAAGAGTTTTATCATTTTAACACATATATTTTGAGTTAATTATATGAGGTAGGAATCCACCTTCATTCTTTTTCCTATGAATATCCACTTGTGCCATTACCATTTGTTGAAAAGATTGTTCTTTCCCCCACTGAATTGTCTTAGTGCCCTTATAAAAACTGGCTTATCTTATATGCAATGGTTTTAAACTCTCAGTTCTAGGTCATTGATTTCTATGTCTATCCTTATACCAGTACCACACATTCTTGATTACTGTGGCTTTGAGAGTTTTAAAATCAGAAAGATGGAGTCCTGCTTTGTTCTTTTCAAGATTGTTTTGACTGTTGTAGATCCCTTGTATTTCCATATAAATTTAGGATCAGCTTTTTAATTTCTGCAATAAAAGCCTGCTAAGATACTGACAGAGATTATATTAAATATGTTCAAAAATTTGGGTAGCAAAGCATCTTGTCAATATTTTCCTCCAACACATGAACACAAGTTATCTTTATATACTGTTTAGCAGTATATTCTTTGTTTCAAAGATAAAACATAATTTTTTCAATGATGTTTTATTGTTTTGGTGAGTAAGTTTTATATTTCTTTTGTTAAGTGTATTTCTAAGTATTTATCATTTTTGATGGAATTAAAAATTGAATTGTTTCCTTAATTTCATTTTAAAATTGTTCTTCGCTTCTGTATATATTCAGCTGATTTGTATATATTAATCTTACATTATGCAACCTTGCTAAACTCATCTATTTGCTGTAGTATTATTTTTATGCATACTCTGAGATTTCCTTAAGTTTTAAAATACAAAATATTATGTCATGTGCAATAGAGACTGTTGTCTGGATGTGGTCCATATACTTTCCTTGATGAATTGCCCTGGCCAGAACCTCCAGTACAATGTTAAATAGATGTATTGTCAGGGAGCATCATGGTCCTTTTCCTTGATCCTAGAGGGGAAGCTTTCAATCATTTATTATTAACTGTGATGCTAATTGAATGTTTCTTTAGAAATACTCTTTATCAGGTTGAAGAAGTTTCTTTACAGCCTTAGTTTGTTGAGTGTTTAGTTATGAAAATTTTATTTTTTCTGTGTCTACTGAGGTGATAAATGTATTTTGTTGCTTGTTATGTTAACATGATGTATTACACTGATTGATACTCATGTGGTACACCAACCTTGCATTCCTGGATTAAATCTTACTTAATCATGGTCTATACATCTATTTGATGTGTTGCTAGATTCAGTTTGCTGGTGTTTTATTGAGGATTTTTATCAATATTCATAAGGAATATTTATCTATAGATCTTTTCTTATAATATTTTTTCTAGTTTTGGTATCAGGGAAATATTTGTCTCATAGAATGAGCTGGGAAGTGCTTTGTTTTCTTCCACTTTTTTGGAAGAGTTTGTGAGTATGTACTGTTAGTTCTTCACTAAATGTCTGGTATAATTCACCAGTAAAGCCACAGAGGTATGGCATATTTTGGGGAAAGGTTTAAAATAATAAGTTCAATCTCTTTTCTTGTGACAATTCTATTCTGAGGATTTTTTGTGTAAGTTTTGATGTTGTATATCTTTCAAATAATTTGTCTATTTTTTCTAGATTATTCATTTTTTCTTGGCATACACTTGTTAGTAGACGTTTCTTATCATTCTTTTTATATTGACAAGTTCTATAGTAATGTCTTCTATCTCACCCTGTATAATATTAATTCAAGTATTTTCTCTTTTTTCTTAGTTAATTTCTTAGTCATTGTGGGCGGCTCATAAATAGCAAAGATTTATCTCTCACAGTTTTAGAGGCTGGAAGTTAAAGACTAGGATGTCAGCTGGGTTGGGTTCTGGTGAGGGCCCTCTTCTGGGTTGCAGATTGCTGTCTTCTCATTGTTTCTTCACATAGTGGAAAAAGGACAAGATTTTTTAAGATTCCTTTTTTATAAGGGCTCTAATGCCATTCATGAAGGCTCCACCCTCATGACATAATTACCTTTCAAATACTTCATCTCCTCATACTACCACTTTGAGGGGTAGAATTCTAGCATATGATTTTGGGAGTGTGGGGCACAACTATTCATTCCAATGCAGTCAATCTAGCTATAGGTTGTCAATTTTATTGATCTTATCACAAAGAAATAACTTTCAGTTTTGTTGATTTTCTCTTTTGATTTTATAGTCTTTATTTCATTTAGTTCTACTATAATTTTAATATTTTCTTTCCTAGCTTTTGTTTAGCTTAATATTTTTTCTAGTTTCTTAAGGTAGAAGGTTAGGTTATTGATATTTTTAATCTTATTTTTTAATATAGGCATTTACAGCTATAAATTTCCCTATAAGCCCTGCTTTACTTGTATTCCGTAAGAGTTGATGTAGTTTTGAATTCATGTACCTCAGAGTACTGATTGGCCTTGTAATTTCTTCTTTAATCTCTTGTTTATTTAGGAGTATGTTGTTTAATTTTTAAATATTTGTGACCTTCTCCTTCTTTTATTACTGATTTCAAATTACATTCCATTGTGGTGAAAGAACAAATTTACATGATTTTAATACTTTTAACTTAAAAATAGTTTTGTTTCATCATTGTTTTATAATTTATAATCTTATAGTCAATTCTGGAAAATGTTTCATGCGCACTTTAGGTGAATGTGTATTCTTCTGTCATTGAATGGAGAGTACTATACATACGTTTCAGGTCTAATTAGTTTATATTATCTTTAAGTCTTCTATTTCCTGGCAGATCTGCTGTTTAAATGTTCTATATATTATTGAAAGATGGATATTGAAATTGGTAATTTATTGTCAAGTTGTTTCTTCTTGCTTTCAATTCTATTATTTTTTTCTATATGTATTTTAGGGCTCTGTTGTTAGGTGCATATATGTTTTTAATTTTTATATCTTCTTGATGAATTGACCATTTTCTATTATAAAATACTCTTCTGCAGTAACAATTTTTACTTTAAAGTATTTTGTTGGATATTGGCATGACCACTTCGGCTCTCCTTTTTCGACTGCTTGCCTGTTCTATCATTTTTTATCATTTCTTTACAACAACTGTCTTTCCATCTAATGTCTGCATCTTACAGACAGCATAGATCACTTTTTAAAATCTATTCTGCCAATCTTTGACTTTTTACTGGACTATTAATTCATTTACATTTAATGTAATTACTCTTAATATAGCACTCACATCTACCATTTCGCTATTTGTTTTCTAAAAATCTTATGGCTTATGCTTTCTGCTATTTCTCTATTACTGCCTTCTTTTTAAATTAAATCATTTTTCAAATATACTATGTTAATTCTCTTGTCATTTTTTAATATTTAGAAAAGTTTCCTTAGTTGTTTACCTGAAGATCACAATTAATATCTTAAATTATGACAAGCTAGTCAGGATTAACACTAATTTAGTTTCAATAATAAAATAAGTTTTACTACTGTAAGCTTCTTCTCTGACTTCTCTTTTGAGCTATTGTCAAATTACATCTTTATGCATGCATGTCAAACAGATTAATAATTAGTTTTATGTAGTTGTCTTATAAATCATACAGAAGAATAATAGTTACACTAGTTGCAAACAAGAATGCATTTATACTGTCCTTTATATTTACCTATTTAATTATATTTACCTGTGCTCTTTATTTACTGCATTTAGTTTTGTGGATTAGAATTACTAACTAGTGTCTTGTCATTCCAACCTAGAGAACTACCTTCAGTTTTTTGTTTGTTTGTTTGTTGTTGTTGTTGTTGTGGAGACAGGGTCTCACTCTGTTGCCCAGGCTGGAATGCAGTGATGCAATCTCAGCTCACTGCAGCCTCGACCTCCTGGGCTTAAGTGATCCTCTCATCTCAGCCTCCTGAGTAGCTGGGACTAAAGTGGTGTGCCGCCACACCTCACTAATTTTTTAAAAAGTTTTTGTAGAGACAAGGGTTTGCCATGTTGCTAAGGCTGGTATCAAAGTACTAGGGTCAAGCACTCCTCCCTCCTTAGTCTCCCAAAGTGCTGGGATTACAGGCATGAGCCACTGCACTCAGCCTTTATTATTTCTTATAAGGCAGATCTTCTAGTGACAAATTATTTTAGTTGTTTTTCTGAGAAATCTCAACTTCTCTTTTAATTTTGAAGGGTAGCTTTTGATGGATACAGAATTCTTGGTTGAAAGTATCTTCTTTCTGCTCTTTGATTATGTCTCCATCTTGTTTTCCAGCCTCTTTGCATCTGAAAATAAGTCATTTCTAAATTTTGTTTAGATTTTTTTCATTCATAATGGATCATTTTTCTCATGCTGTTTTGAAGATTCTCTATTAGTTTTGGCTTTCAACAATTTGATTATAATGTTTCTATGCATAGATGTATGCATTTATTTATAATCTTTTTAGCTTTTTGGATGTGTAATTTTTTAACTATATTTGTTACTTTTGGGGTCGCTGTGTCTTTAAATATTCTTTCTTTCCCTTTCTCTTCTTTATTTCTTGGAATTCCATTTTGTGTATAATGCTGTGCTTATTAATGTTCCATAGGTTTCTGTGGATAGTTCCATTTTTCTTCATTCATTTTTCCTTCTGCTCCTTACACTGGATAATCTCAGTTGATTTATATGCTAGCTTGCTAATTTCTTTTATATGCCTGCTCAAACCTCCTGTTGATTTTTTTTATTTTAGCTAATGCAATTTTAAACTATAGAATTTGTATTTGGTTTTTAAATATAACTTCTATTTCTTTATTGATTGTCTTTATTTGGTGAAATAGTCTCATATTTTAATTATAGATGTGATTGTGTTTAGGTCTTTGTGAATTGTACTAGCTTCCTAGGATTGCTTAATAAACTACCACACTCTAAATAGCTCAAAACAATAGAAACTTATTATCTCACAGTTCTGGGAGCTAAAATTCCAAAATCAAGGTGTCATCAGGGTGATGCTCCCCTTGAAGGCTCTAGAGGAATTTATATTCCATGCCTGTCTTCCAACTTCTTGTGGTTGTTGACAATCCTTTTCATTCCTTGGCTTGTAATTGTATGCCTCTGCCTTTACTCTTGTGTTCATTTGGTGCTCTCTCTATATGTATCTGTGCCTAAATTTCCCTCTGCTTATAAGAAAACCAGTCATATTGGATTAGGAACCACTTTAGTCCAGTATGATCTAATTTTAACTAATTATATAGTTAAAGGCCCTATTTTAACATAAGCTCACATTCTGAGTTTATGAGTGGGCATGGATTTGGGGGTCTTCAACCCAGTTTAAGCATGTATATAATAGTTGACTTAAAGTGTTTTTTGAAAATGGAAATTTTTAATAATATAATGTGTAAACACTGGACATCAGATACTCTCCCTTTCTGGTGTTTGTTGCTGCCACTGCTTGTTTCTCTTGCTGTTTCTTATTAATTAATTTTCCGAACCAGTTCTATAAAGTCTCTGTTCTTTGTCACACGTATCACTGAAGTCTCTGCTTGCTTAGCTTTGTGGTCACCTAATGATTCAAAAGACATTTCCGTAAATGCCTGGAAGCAATCAGTCTTCTAGCCTTCGCTGATGGGTTCTGCATATGAGTTCAGGCATGCCTTCAGGACTCCACCAGGCACTTGGTAATTCTGCCTTATCCTTCACTTTTTGCTTGAGCAGCGCCGAAAGGTGAGCCAGAGGTGAGAGCTTATGGCCATTTCAGATGATTTCTGAGCACGTCCACAGCTGTATGCATATATGTGACTTTCTATTTTCCTAACTACTTTCAATACATGCCCTGCAGAAAGACCGTTGCTCTGAGTAAGCTCTGAGTCAGGTCAAATAAAGGCAAGCCTTGTGAGTAGGGTCTTCCAGGAACCATCAGACAATTAAAATAGTGACGATCCTATTGGAATTGGGTTTTGATGAAGCCCCAAACTTGTTTTGGCCCCCAGTGGCTGGCAGGCTGCTGGTTTTCCTACTACTGTGTGCGAGTTTTAGGGCTGTCATCCCCGGTGGGGGTGGAAATGAGGAGAAAAGAAAAGCAATGTTAACACTCAATAAAATGTGCTGCTCTTACCAAGATTAAACTAGTTTTTTTGAATAAACCTGCTGAATTGTTACAAGCCTTTGGTTAATTTCCCAAGTCCTGAAAGGATTGATTCTGCTCATTTTTGAAAGCATTCTCATTGTTTTTATAGATTGGAAAAACTTCAGAGATCCTTACTCTGTCGTTTCCCCTGACATCCCATTACCATATCTTTTCAGACTAACAAATATTTTCTTTATTTTGTTTTTATCATAATCAGAGAAAACAACAAGTCTTAAAATGTGAAGTATTTAATTATTTGGCTAAGCAACATGCATATCATTCTGGAAACATGGTAAAGAAGCAGGCTCCATTCTTGATCCTGGGAAAGCTGCATTCTTGGCAGTCACTGACATTATACTATTGAGGACAGGCAGGGCAAGCCACCACTAGTTTCATTGTAAAGGCACAATTTATCCCCCAGGAATACCAGGCAAATAAGAGTGGCCTATTCTCTTCTATTTCCAGAAATCACTTAAGCCAACGTGACTTGGATTTATTATTTCTCACAAGAGATTTCTCTTTATATCTTTGAATTCATTGCTAGTGTACTTCACTATGAGATTTCGAATTTCTATTTTGTTAGTCTTTTATTTTGATGGATTAGAATAGACTATATTGTTCAAACAACCTTGTAGCTAAGATCCATTTAAAGTGAAAACAAATGTATAATAAAATGTCATGGTTTACTCTAAAAAATATATTTAAAATTACAATACAAATTGTGAATATAGGGAAGAAAGTTTATAAAAAAATTTTTCTTGAACACTTACTATCATGGCCCAAATACTGTGTCCACATTTTATGCATATATTATATATTCCTCACAACAATTTTTTGAAGACGTTAATAGAATTCCTAGTTTACTAATTAGGAAATGGAGATCTTAAATAAGATTCCCAAAGTTATACAGCTAGCTGTGGACAGACTGAAACTTCAAAAGTCACGTTGTTCATTTCATTTTTTATTAATAAGGCTTTGGTTTTGAAAATAATCTTAATAATAAATGCATCTCCTGACTGTCTGAATTTTCACGAAGTTTAAAATATTTTAAGGGATTTCTCTAATTAAGAGTATGTAGATAATGTTTTTTGAGCTTCCTTGCTTAGATAACAGCCAGAGGCAAAATCTTTGTTCTCAGTGTCATGTAACTAAATTCAATAAAGAATTCATTATTAGGAAAACATAAATCAAAAATGAGATTTGGTATTGACTAGAGTTTGAAAGAAATAATAAGCTGATAGGCATTTTCATAAAAATATAGCAGGTTCATAATAAATGCCTAAAGTGCTTATTGTCTTAATGTATTCATTTTTTAGCCATTTAAATTACATTTTACAGTTCCAAAAGTGGCTAATCAAGTAATAAAGATAATGTTCAAAACTACAAAGATCTTCTTGGCGTATTCTCAGCCAAGAGAGTATTGGCATATTTTCGCAGATAGCACATAACACTTTTTCATGAGTCACTGTCTTAAAATAATTTTCTTCCTAGTGTTATAATACTTCCTTATAGGAATTTTGATTCTGCAAATAAATTTTACATCAATTGATATTTGCAACATTATTTTAATATTAAATAAAATTATATTTTAGTTTTGTTTAATAAAACAACATCAAGATTTGCAACAAGTACTATTACCACTTTCTCACAAACTAATTATAATACCTATTTGGTTGCCATGTGGTTTAGGCACTCATCTCAGAGAGTCAGTTGTGTATAGGGTAGTGATTCTGCCATGGTACCTGTCTTCATTATTTTCAGCGAGATCCGTAAACTCTTTGTGACTGAGTCTCACCTGTTGAACTAACCAGTAACTGTTGCTCTGGTCCACTGAAAAACTAAGAGTCATTTGTATCACGTTCTAATCGCCTTCATCACAAGGGCTATCTTTCCTGCTTTGAAACTTAAATGTTCATCATCAAGCAGTTTCTTGTGTGAGGTACCTACCTTGATAACTACGTTAAACATTTCCCTATTTTTTTCAGTCCTTTAAAGATTCTGCATATTTACTGGGTGTAAGATAATTTTCTCAGCATGAAAAGAAGAATGTGAAATGGTTGAGGTTTAAATACCCATAAGAGAAGAGGAGATAAGAGACTAGTTACTGTCTTAAGCTTATACTTGAATTTCAAGTAGATACTTGCAAAATCTGGGGACTATTGAAAAGCTACTATTAATAATAAGAGAAAATGCCCCCATATAGGGACAAAAATACTCCAAGTGAAGTAGCCATCTGAATGGGACTCAGTTGGGGGAGAAAATGCTTTTTACAACAAATTAAATTCTACTTCGATCTTCGCACAAATTTGTAGTCCAAATTAATATTATAAAAGAATTGTGAAAATCCCAAGTTAATACATGAAGAAGAGACATATTTTGGGAAGTTGAAATATTAGTGGCTTCAGCCAAAGACAATGCAAAAAAGCATTTTGTATGTGTTCCACTTCAGGCATGGCCAAAGATGCTCCTGCCAGGCCAATTTCCCCACAAATAACCACTCGAAACCTGGATAAATTTTTTGAATAGTAGCCTGGAGGCAGTGCAGATTGAGCAGAGGCTGAAAGATTATAGGAGGGAATCAATTTGGAAGAAAGAATGGCATGGGGTAATTTTCCTGTGTTCTCAATTATTTTAGCCTCAATGCAGATTGCAGTCAGCATTAATAAGTAAATCCTTGATAGAAAACCCATACTTTTTCTGTTCTAAAGAACTGGAGAACAGAGTTTGAAATAATCATTTCCACCAGAAAGTGAGGGAGATATTCCAGAAAGGAGATGGCCAGAGACGGGGAGCCCAGATCCCATGCACAAATTTCAGCCAATTAACTAACCAACCTTAAACCATGCATACACAAGGCAGGATCAAAGCACTTTGGAATGAATTTTGAGCTGTGTTCAAAACACAATGTTCATGAGTCTAAAATAATTGTCCGCTAAAATTTAGAAAATCAATACTCTATTAAGGATTATAACAGGATTCAGTCTCTACATCTTCAGAGTATTCAAGAAACAATACAAATCCAGTCAATAGGTGAAGAAAGAATGGATATTTCATTCATTCTCAAGAGAAAAGACAACCTATGGAAAACAATACCCAAATGAACATATGTTGAAATAAGCACATAGGATATTATTTTAACTATTTTAACTACACTCAGTAGTGTAAAAAGAAATATGCTCTTAATAATCAAAATACAAATAGTTTCATCAGCAAATAGAAACTAGGAAAAAGTCTCAAACAGAAATGCAAGAATCAGCCAGGTGCAGTGGCTCACACCTGTAATCCCATCACTTTGGGAGGCTGAGGTGGGCTAATCACCTGAGGTCAACAGTTCGAGACCAGCCTGGCCAACATTGTGAAACCCCATCTCTACAAAAAATACAAAAATAGCTGGGTGTGATGGCATGCACCTGTAATCCCAGCTACTTGGGAGGCTGAGGCAGGTAAATCGCTTGAACCTGGGAGGTGGAGGCTGCAGTGAGCCAAGATTGCACCACTGCAATCCAGTCTGGGTGACAGAGTGAGATGCTGTCTCAAACAAAAACAAACAAACAAAACAAAACAAACAAGAAATGCAAGAAGGGAAAAATACAATGTATGCAGTAAGCACACACTAATTGGGCTTCACAGAATAATAGAATTGACAAAGAAAGGGGTCAGAGAGATCAACAGAACTTTTTAAAATCTGAACAATACCAAGATTGATAAGCAAAGTGAACAAAGCTTCATGGACCTGTGAAATAATCTCTGAAGTTCCAATATCCATGTAACTGCAGTTCCACAGCAGAAGAGAAAGAAAATGGGACATACAGACACACAATTATTGAAAAAAAAAAACTGAACTTTTTCAATTAGGTAAAAGATAAATTTACAGATTATAGAAGCTCAGTAAATTCCAAGTGTGAGCAAACATCATTAAAATGAGCAAGTATGTAATAGTCAAAGTATTTAAAGCCAAAGAAAGAATGTTTTCACAAGCCAGACAAAAATGGCATATTACATACATGCAAAAAATGTTTCAAATATCTTTTTCTTGTCAGAAATTTTAGATGTGAGAAGACAGTTGAAAAATATTATAAGGTAATGCAAGGAAAGAAACTGCCAACCCACAATTCTACATCCAACAAATGTATTCTTCAGAATATGAAGGCAAAATAGAGACAACCTCATACGTTCCACCATTGTGTTTTGGAAGCAGATAATTTGTTTTCTAGTTTTACAGTTCTGTGGATGAAGGGACTTTGCCCCAGTATGGATGAAAACTAAGAGTCTCACCCATACCTAATTTAGATCATTTCAATGATGAGATTTGTAACTTTTTGAGTTGATATTAATGTGACATTTTTTAGAGTTAACGCTTAAATGGGTTAAGAATTTGGGGGACATGGGTAAATGTATTTTGCACACGGGAGAACATGAATTTGGGGTGCCAGCTGGTGGAGTTTACTGGGTTAATTAGTGCCACCCTTCAGCCCCCTAAAAATGCCTGTTCAACTGGAACCTGTGAATGTGACCTTATTTGGAAATGGGATTTTTTGCAGATTTAATGATGAGGTAATCATGGATTAGAGGGATCTATAATCTAATACATGGTATCTGTGGTTTCCTCATAGGAGGGAAATTTGGACATGGACACATAGGGAAGACAGCCATGTGGAGACAGAGGCAGAGGTGGACCTGCTGCCGCAAAACCACAGGGCGCCAAGTACTGTGGGCCACTGAGAAAACTAAAGGAGAGGAAGGATTCTTCCCTGGAGCTTTGGAGAGGGTGCGGCCCTACTTTCACCTGGATTTCAGACTTCAGACTTCCAGAACCATGAAGGAATAAGCTCTCTTTGTTTCAAAACCACTCAGTCAAGGCACTTTGTTACAACAGCCTAGGAAACTAATACAGGAATTGGTATTAGTAAAATCATTATTGTTGGCTCATATGACCATACTCATAGAACTTTTAAGATAATATGTAAATAAGCAACTAAAACAAAAAGTCAGAAAGCTTTATGGTGCCAGATCAATATACAAATAAATATCATTATTTTCCAATAAAAACAATTATATAATGTAACAATAATAAAGTAATAATACAAAGAAACTTCCCATAATAGCTACCAAAAATTCTAAAGTAGTTATAACTAGTTTTTAAAAATAATATGTTCAGAAATTTTATATAAACAAATATAAATTTTAAGTTAAAAAGAAAAAGAAATGGATAAATACATCATTAATGAAGTTTCAATCAAAATTCATACATGAATATTTCACAGAATTTGACAAGTATATCTAAAAATTATTTTAAAGGAGTAAAACGAGCTTGGAATTATTTGAAGAAGAAAGTATTTATCCTTTTGTATATTAAGAGTTAGCCTAAGTCTCCCGGGACTCAATGGTATCACCTCTCTAACAAAAAAGGTCACAGAGATATGAAAACACATCATAAAAAAATCTATCGTTTTATCACACAATGATTTGATCACCTGTGCACATGGAAACAACCTTATTTTAAATCCTTGTTTAGAGTCAATTTTAAGGGATAATGTTGCATGTGAAGCTCCATAATCATTCTTTTGTGTTAAGTGGTTGAGGAAAATATCAGGCTGGTGAGATGTTAATTATAGGTCCAGGGAATAACTTGAGTTAATAAATCAGAGATGAGTCCAAAGTTCTGTAAACAAGTTTCAACATTTCTGGGCACCTGAGATTAAGCACAGCTCTGAGAAGTGCTCCACACGTTCCTAAGTATATGATGCAAGTTTTACTTTGGCAAGAAAATGTAACTATATCTAGTACCCACCTTAGGAACATGAATGACGAAATGGAGATTTCACATTTGCCAGATGAATAGGACTAATGTAGAAAAACAAATCAAACTGTCCTTTACTCTCAGTCAACCCCCTTCTCAATAACAAAAACATCCACATATCCACATTGTCCATCTATTTTAAGGTCAATATAGTATGGATATTATACCAACTTGCAAAAATAAATTAAACCACTTACCACAGGTATCCTCCAACATCATTGGCACCATTAAATAACATTCATTCAGAACTACTTTTAGTGAATGTAGATACTTAATGTTTACAGACGAGGAAATCTGAATGGTACGAAACAAACAGAGACTTGTTCAAGGTCTCACACTGACTCAGCAGCAAAGTCCACATAGGAAGTGAATGTTCCTGAAGTAGCACATTTTGTTTGGACTACAAGACCAACTGAGTTATTATCTTTATTTGAAAATGATTCATGCAAGTCTGCCACAGATGAAGGCAAGCTGTGGAATTCTTACTCAAACTCTTTGTTGTTATTATGGGAAAGCTTCAAGTCTGGGGTTTTTTGTTTGTTTGTTTAATACCTCATATTTGTTATCCGAAAAAAACAAACAGCGTTCATTCACCTGTCAAGCAACAAACGACTCTCCACGAGAATGCAGATTTTGATCAATAGGAGTTTTATTACTTGGCTCAAGTAAGGGGAGCACTGGGTGTATTCTCCAAAGCAGTGTCTCCCTGAGGGAAAGTGGCAGGAGGGTTTTATGGGGTGATGGAGAGGGGAGAGGGTGCATTATCGCATGTAGATGAGGGGTCCCAGCGGTGCAGACACAGTGTCATCATGGCAACACATGGGTTACATGTTATGATAACGGAACTACAGTTCCTCCAGGATGGAGACGTTACAGTCATGAGGAAGATTCACCAGGGTTCATCTCTAAGTTGCCAGGGTCTGTCAGGAGCTGGTTTCAACCAACTAGGTTACTATAGTCCACCCAGGGTTTAGGGAAGAACAGGCTGCAGGGCAGGAAGCTGTAAATCAGGCTGATGGCTCACGTGGATTAAACTCCTATGGTTCCTAGAGACCCTCCTTGTCTGCTTATATATCCTAGAACTGAAAAATAAATTGAAAAGTGAAGTGGTTATGGTGGTCGCACTTCTGAATTCTGGTATGCCCCTCCTACCTCCCCCTACTAAGTAAAGAAAGATAAATCAGTCGTCTTAACAGTATTTAAAACAGCCCTTCCCAAAAACTCAATACATGAAACTTTCTTTCTAGTTGATCTTTGTACCAAATGATCTGGCCAATAAAGGAATAAAATCTTTGAGCTCAAATAACCATGAAAATGCAATACCCGATTTTCCTAAATGCACTTCCTAATGTGAAGGCCATTCACAAAAGCAAATATCCACCCCAGATTCTACTGGGTATGAAACATCTCAATGACTGATACTTCATCTTATCACCTGAAAATTAAATAATTTTATTACAAAAAGAATTAGTAGATTATATTGCTAAATCAAGTTTAGCCTAGAGCTGCCTCCTTACATATTTTAAGTTCAGTCTAAACGTTTCTCTGTAGGTAATGAACTGTAACCTCACTGGACGTGTAAACAGACTGTGACCTACCTACTCTTGTGCCAATCATGGAGTTTCAGCCAATCACAGGCGGCCGGCTGTTCAAACCATGTTTAAATAAGGCAAACGCAGAGCTGTAAGCAATCTAGGTGTTTCTGCACCTCTCGTCCATTTTCTGTAAGTCCTTTTTCTGTTCATAAATCTTCTTCCATCACGTGGCTGTGCTGGAGTCTTTGAACCTACCCTGCCTCGGGAGGCTGCCCCAATCAGCAATTTGTTCTTTGCTCAATTAAACTCTATTAATTTAATTTGCCTAAAAATTTTTTAACAATGTTTACTAGTAAATTTCATTTTTTCTTGCAAAAAAGAAAAAATCCTGAAAACAGGAGTAGGGAAAGATTGATGGCTAAAATTAAATATGGTTAACTTTAATATTTTAACTTATCACAAGAAAATTGCATTGCTTTGGACTATAAAAGTGATACATAAATCTTTCACTTCAGTAGCGCCATCACCATCATCAAATATTTAAAAACTTACATATGAAAAGAAATATGGTGGGGAGGGAAGTAGACAGAAACAGTTAAGAAACTAGGACATAATAAGACAGCAAAATTCCTGTTGGTTTATTTTTTGCTTGTTTCCTTGCTTAGTATTCTCTGATAGCCAAAGAATAGACGAAATATTCTAAGAGCCAACGAATAGACAAAATTGGGCAGCTGCTTCTGGAATACAAAGGTACAAATCCTTAGAAAGTTCTTCTGAGCAGATAATCTTCCCAGAGCCTTGACACAAATGTGATCATTAGAATTTTATTTCTCTGGGTTAAAAGTAACCTCAGGGAAGACAGCACTGTTGAGAGGCATTTACATCACTGAAAATTATTTTGGCATAACATTTTAAATATAAAAACCAGCTTGGAAAATGAGAGACGCTGGAAAATGCAAAAGCCTGTGTACATGGGGCCTATGCTTTAGGTTGGAGAGCCAGGACCCCGGGCGAGAGAGAACAAGCTAAATGACCTGAGTTAAGTGACTTGGTCACTGCTGCAAACTTTGCTTCCTCATCCATTAATTGAAGATAACAAAAGTAAGAACCTATCGCACAGGATGGCAGGGAGGACTAAATTAGCACGACAATGACCATCAGAAAATATGTGCTCATTACACATTAACCATTTCTCTTCCTCTCGTTCCTCTCCTTTACTTCTTCTACCAGCATCACCTCCATTGCCACTTCACAACCTCACTACCCCATTGCTAATTTTGTCTTAAGGCATGCTAGAGGTTTAAATAATAATCAAGTATACTGCTTTTCACTTATCATTAGCAAAAGCTTTTGAACAAGCCTATGAACAAGAAGAAGCTACGTTCTCCCAAAGGTTTTTTTTTTTTTTTTGAGACCGAGTCTCGCTCTGTCACCCAGGCTGGAGTGCAGTGGCGCTATCTCGGCTCACTGCAAGCTCCGCCTCCCGGGTTCACACCATTCTCCTGCCTCAGCCTCCGGAGCAGCTGGGACTACAGGCTCCCGCCATCACGCCCGGCTAATTTTTTGTATTTTTAGTAAAGACGGAGTTTCACCGTGTTAGCCAGGATGGTCTCGATCTCATGACCTTGTGATCCGCCCGCCTCGGCCTCCCAAAGTGCTGGGATTACAGGCGTGAGCCACCGCTCCCGGCACCAAATGTTTTTCTGATGAGATCAAAGTTATCTCAAAACAGTATGTGACTTTTTAGTGTATGTGCTCCCCCAAAGCATCTGAACTAAAAAACCTGAGTGTTTCTTCTTTTCAGGTCTGAGTTTAAGAGTCAGGTAAATACATCTTGTTAAATATTTCTAAATTATTTTCTCTTGTATGATTTTCCTTTAGAAATTGAATTCTCTCTTTTCTTTGGGTTTTGCTGAAAGGTTCATCGATCATTCAAATAAATTTCACAAAAATATTAGGAGTAGGTACAATGGCTATAATGCATAGTTAACAGAGAGATCATTATGTCTGCCTCTGAGGACCTGGGTGTGGCCTCTGATTTCCCTGGACAGTGTTTTGGGCTTCCAATGAGAAAGTCTCTCAAAGAAGGACACTCTGCAAGTCACGGCCCTAGGGCCGGCCATCACCTAACGTCTTCAGATAAATTGTTTGTTTATGGATTCAAAAGCAAGACAGTTAATGAATGTCATCATTCAGTTTTCAGTTTGAATATTGTATTTTTTATTTATTCAGAACCTAGCATATAATATTTACACAGGATAATATATTTTTTATAAATTTTATTTATATATTTACTATATACTGATTATGTGCTGTGCTATTTGTGATAGAAGGATCCCAAATGAATGCAATGTTGGCTTTTATCCACAAAACACTATCATGATATACACGTAAAATATACATGTGAAAATAACAACATTATAAAATAATAAACCGTATTTAAGAAGCAGAATATTATAAACTTCAGCAGAAGTACAGAAGTGTATATAATATGTTATTTCTACATTTCATTCCCAGAATATTTCTTAAAATACATTCTATTTTAAAGGTAAGGGAACTAAATATTTAAGTGCAAAAAGAAATAGAAAACCATTGTAAATATATAGCTAACTCAGGCCAAAAATGTCTGTTTTACTAGTTCTTTTAAATGATAGGTTAGTCACAAGAAATAAGCATCAGATGAACTGAATCAGTTTCTCATTATTTTCTATTCGACAGGTTAATTTCAGGTTTATACATAAGATGAGCAACTTACCAAGTGCTTCTAATTCTACTTGATAAAATGATACTCCCTAAGCCACCTTGACTGGGTGTGAAAGAGGGCAAATAAAGGCTTAAATACAATATATCTTCCTGATGAGATAACTGCAGACCTATTTGTGGGAGAAAATTGCTGCACATAAGCATTTGTGTTTGTTTTATATTCACTTTAACTGTGAAGAGGGAAATGAAGTTCGAGCGGAAGCCATGAGACTCTATTGTAACAGCTCATGAAAAATTACAGCTCAACATCCAAACATACATCTGTCTGTGTCCCTATGTGAATTAATACAGTATTTTAAGGCCAACAACAAACACAAATAACCAATTCTAAAGCTATGGGAACTACTTTCTGCTGATAACTGCAAAAACACAGAAATAATAACATAAGTCATGGAAAACTATGTAAGACCCAAAAAGATAATGGCTAGATTATTTCAACCAAGGCTTGCTTTGGTATTCATAGAAATAAATCTAAAGCATCTGCTCTAATGTATCATTAAACTTTTATCAGATCATAGTCAGAATGCATGAGGATTAAAACTCCTTTTAGCTGAATAAAGCATGCTAAGATATACATCGTTCGTGTTAAGGTAGTAATCATCTCTTGGCTAATGAGCTTCAATGGACTGATAGGCATTAAGCCTGTTTTGAATGCAAGCACTCATATCTTGACAACAAAAGGGGAATATTTTTATCATTTTGGAAATGCAGTACAAGCATGTAAATAAATATGGGCCATGTTAGCTTTTGTTCGAGTAAGGAATTAAATGTCTTCTGCTTACCATTTAATATGATCTTTGAGTTGTTGTTCAAATGAGCTAGGTGGCTCTTAAGCAACTTCCCTGTGTGTTTTGTCGTGAATGCCACTTATTATTATACCCATAAGCTTCTTTTTTACCAGGGAGTATCCTCCTGTCAAATGACCAGCACTTCCCTACTTATTCTTTCCTTTTGTTAAATTTTTAATCAGCTTTTTAAATTCACACTGAAGTATGAAGAGCTACTTCCATCAACGTGTCATGCCTTCCTGGTGCACGTGGATTTTTTACCAGAAGTGAATGAGAGAAAAGAAGAATTTTTAGATCTCAATTAGAAGAGGTGGCAAAGGTGAAGACAATGGGGCTTTCTGTTTCTACCCCATCCCCTGGCCCTTGCCTGGTTGCTACACTTCTCTCAAGTCCAGCTGGACACACACCTGTAGAGAAAGTTACCTACTCACTTCCCTTTTTGAAAACAGGAAGCCATGAATTTGTCTTTTGTGAAAGCCTGAGTCTCCTTATTGGATATAAATTTTGCCTAGCAGTGATGCCACTCTTGTATTTTTGTTTATGATTATTGGACTTCAGAGCAGTCTCAGTAATCTTTTTGCCCCCTGGAAACTGAAGAAATACTTTAAATGATGCTTGAAAGAGAGGAGAAAACATTATGGATTAGATGGGTGAGGATATTGAAAGACAGTACCTTTAAGAATAACTATTGGGATCAATATAGTATTCATTTAACCTCAATTTTCTTTTTCTTTCTTTTATTTCTTTTTTGTTTTTAAGACAGACTCTTGCTCTGTTCACCAGGCTGGAGTTCAGTGACATGATCATGGCTCACTGCAGGCTCAACTTCTTGGGCTCAAGTGCTCCTCCCTCCTCAGTCCCTGAGTAGCTAGGACTGCAAGTGCATGCTACCATGACTGGCTAATTTTTGTATTTTCTGTAGAGACGGGATTCACCATGTTACCCTGGTTGGTCTTGAACTCCTGCGCACAAGCGATCAGCCAGCGTCGACCTCCCAAAGTGCTGGGATTACAGGCATAAGCCAATGATCCCGGCGTTGTCCTCAAATTTCAATGAGACATTACTTGATTCCTAAAGGCAGATTACCACCGTGGTACTGAGGGATGAATCATGTTTAGAATGAGTCTCCCCTCATCTAAAATTATTTTATTGACTGTCTTCCAGGAGCCTCCAAGTTTGCATCACTAAAAGTACCTGGTTGAGGCTCAGCACAGCACTTTGGGAGTCCTTAATAATGGTTAAATTTATGACATGTAACACAACCATCTTTGACAGTCACTACATGAAGGAGTGATTGAATTGCTTTGTAACCTTAACAGATGGCTGAAAGGAGGGTCTGGGTGACTTTGAAGGAGTATGGGCCAGTACTGAAAAGGGGCAAAAAAAGGGACACAAATCAGATCAAACGTCACCAAGTGGCTACATGAGAGTACTACCTACTTGGTTGAGGGGCTTTCAAGAAGAGAAGAGAGGGCTGACTTAATGACTACTCTGTCTCCAGGACTCTTCTACCTGGATCATTGCAAAAAAGAAAAAATTGGGCTACCATAGCCCCACTCCCATTCAGACAATAGTTTGTTTTACAATAGAGATTGCATCTTAATCCATCTTCAAGCATGAGCACTTACCATACCATGTGACTCATGCCAGTGACACAATCAGTGTTTGTTGAGTGAATGAATGAATACATGAATACAATAATATAATTTTACTTGAAGGAGTCTCTGGCATTCCATTTAGACATTCTAATTTCTTTTAATGTAAACAATAGCATCAGTAGAAATGCTAGGTATTCTTTATAGTTCTATTTAAAAAGAATGGAAAAATACCAGCAGGGATTGGGAGACAAAGCCAGCTGTGACTCTTTGTAGCAAGAGGAAAACATTTTATAGGTATCTCTATCAAGTGATCTTTCATTGGAAGAATAACCTCTGATGGTCAAGGCAACTGGAAGGAAGGGCCAAAAATGCAAAGCATGCAAGGAGATTTAGTAAGCCTCAGGGACACCAGAGCAGCCCTGAAGAGCAGGGGCAGCATTAGCAAACAGCCCCTGTTTTGATATAAGTAATAGATCAATCCAATTTCCAAGTCATCTCCATGTAGTTAACAACAACAATAACAACAATCTGTGTCTAGATGACTTCATGTTCTTTCTGGGGCATGCCAGTATTCAGTGCAGCATCGCTGAGAACAACATACACAACACAATAAATCGATTGAAGTATCCAGAGGGTTGGATTTGGTGAGCTTTTCACAGATTAAGTGTCTCTCCATGAAAGAGACACTTGCAAGTGACAATAGCAGCATTTGCGCAGTTTTCTGGTTTCTGATCTGGAATGTTTCAATGCTTTGGAAATATCACACACCCCAAAATGGACTGTTTTGTGATTCCTACTAGCTTGTAATGCATTCATTTAACAGGTACTTTCAAGACCCCAGTAGGTGCCAGTCAATATTTTAGGTTTTAGGGAAAGAGCAATGGAAAACAGAATACCTAACTTCCATGGCTTCATGGTATGTGTGTGGGGGCAGATGGTGGGGACAGAGAGGAGTAGATATATAAACATCAGATTAAAAAGTAGAAGTCATGATTCAATATATGCAATGAAGAAAAATAAAGTGAGGCCAGTGATTGATGAGGAAAACAGCTGTGCCCTTGGCTATTTTTAAGATGGACGTAAAACAAGTCTTAACTGCAGAGGTGACGTTTTAGCCAAAGTGAAGGAAATGAGGAAATGAGAACAGATGATATCTTGGGGAAGAGTGTTCTAGGTGGAGGAAACTGCAAGCACAAAGGCTCTGAGGCTGGACTACTTTGGAAGTGTTGGAAGGAGGGTCTGAGGGCAGGGCCTTGTGAGCCACGGCAAGGCTGCCCTGTAGTTCCTACAATAACTCCTCTTAGGGAGTTTGATGAATTTTGCTGGACACATGTCTATCTAGTAAACATTGCAATTCACTTTCTTGTCCCTGCAAAGTTTTATGAACTAGGACCCTGTGGCCTCTCTTTGCTCACTCAGCCTTCTTTCTTTAACTGAATAATCAAGCTGTGTAGTTGTGTAGGGTCATAGGAAGAGTACAAAGGGTCATCAGATGAAAACCGATTTGTTGCACACAACTGAAAACCAACCATGATTATTCCAATTCACTTTCCTGAAACAAGCTGTTTTGGAAACAACCCAAAAGTGAGCTCTAGAAATGTAAATTCCTATGGGGAATGATGTTGCAGAGTCAGCAGTGACATGAGAGGACACTTCAGGGGCATTTACCTTTAAATCAGCCCCACACATTCCGCAGAGCCTAATTTATGTCTGACCTCCTACATGCGTTAATTTAAACATTACTCACAACTCTGAGATCATACAACATTAATTGCATCTTTTATTTTGTATTTATAAATTACATATAGCTTTACACTAGCTTGTAATTATACTATAGAAGCTACGTGTAGGATAGCTTGTGTGTACTGACTGCAGAAGCACTTGGAAGGACATTTACAGATGTTGACACGGGACTGGGGCTGTTACTGTATCTTCTTATCTAGTTCATAAATTCCATGACAGCAAGGCTTCTTTCTATGCTTCTCTGTATCTGCTAGGTGGATGAGCACAGGGTCTTTCACAGAATAGATTAAAATAGCTGTTGATTGATTGATAGATAAAAGTAGAAAAAAATTATAAATACATGTAGGAATGGAATGATGTGTAACTTACTGCTTTTGCTGATAACTTAGAGCAGGAATCTGAGCTCTGATCTCCAACTCAGTATTTGGTTACCAACAACATAGGTTTTCTTCATTAGGTTTAGTTAGGTGAATTTCCCAGGCTGTGGAAAGATTGAATCACGTATTAAAGTTGAGAAGGAACAAAGACCGTAGTGTGTGGTTGCTTTGCATCCTCCCACCTGAACTACGTGCTCATCACAGTGGAATTTCATTGCAACTTCTCTCAGTCTGGTGAGCATTGTGTCTGGTATTGAAACTCAGATACATGATAAATCGCTTCAAGTTATTTTTAGTTTTATTCTTGGGTAATGATTGGTAGGGAATTATCAAAGTTTTTACTCTGAAAGTTGTGAGAGATTTAGATAGGATAAGCCAAGACCTCAGGTATATGTCTTTACACATGAACTTGAAATATGCTAAAATAAAGAAAACAATTTTACAGTTTATCTGGAGCTTATGCAGAGAGGGAAAACTTAGGGAGAAATATTTATATATTTTGGGTTTTACCCTAGGCAGGGAATAGAAAAATTCAGTAAACCACATTAATTTGACATAAATATGCAGTACCAACATTTATGACATAGTTGGTTTAGAGAGCACATAGTATATATAGTGCACAGTTTATATAGTATGTAACTGCTAGTTATTCAGAAACAGTATAATATTTTCTGCTGAAAGAAAATGATTACAGAAAAAAAAGATTGCTGAGCCTCCCAGTAGGTAGTGCACAAGATAGATGTCATTCAAAGTGATGTGCTTTCCAACAGCATGAGAGTTCTCAATAAACATATGTACACAATTTTGAAATTAGATTTCTTCCCCAAAATGTCCAAATCATATGTTAAACAAGAGACAAATGGAGATGTGAAAAACCTCACATGCTTTTGATTAGGACAAGATGCAGTCAGGCTGGCTGCTAGTTCTTTCCACTTGGATCCTTAATGTTGTAGGTAATTCTCCCCACCCGGCCACTGCAGCAGGAATCCAGTGCCTGTCAACTGCCGGACTGGCTGGTTTCCTGTGGAATCACAGGACCTGCTGAATCTTGAAGGCATCACGACTTTGCTGTCTACTACTGAGTTCTCCAAAGAGTACAAGTGGGTTTGGATATATCACATATTTACACCTTTTGCCATATATACATATACAAAGTTATTTATATATGTGTCCATGTGTTTATGCTCACACACATTTGTACTGTTGAGTATAAATACTCTAAAAATTTTCAAAGTTGTGACAATAAGATCAGGTGATGCTTGGGGTTGCTATAATTTTTATTAGACATCTGGAAGGTACGTCCTGCAATAGAAGTTTCTGCAATAAGGTGCTGACATTTACCTCAAAGTGCTGTTTATTTACTTCTTCATTTGGGACCTGGTATTGAAAGGGTCAGGGATGGCTCAGGGAAAAGGTCCAGTTATTTGAAATTCTTCTGGTTTATTTCGTTGGTGTTTGTTCAGCGTTTCAGTTTAATGAAGTTGTCCTTCCAACTCATTCCTTGAGCTCAGTGACTCCAGGCTTTTTTAGAAAGATTACAAGGCCAAATGCATATTGTATTATATGTCTCTGTCAATCCACAAGGCCTGTGGATCAGAAACGGGGAAGATAGAAGGCATATGGAAAATTGAATGTTTCCTCTAACTGTGTATGTGGATCTTCAATACACATCGGTGGGTCCATGTGGATGATACATATTTGTGTCTTACTATAAGCAGCTGGAAGGGATTAGAGTTTGTGATAAGGATCTGGTTGAATGCTTTCTTCTATTCTGAGAGATGTTTCTGTAGGTGTGTAAATACTGCTAGAAAGTAATTTAGAGAGAAAAGTAATCTATTCAATGGCAAGGGCCGTTAATTTTAAGTTCTAGATGCAAATGTTATAATTGCTTTATCTTTCATGGCATTAAATAAATGAATCACCATGTGGATTGATCTATCTCTCTCATTTACATGCATACACACACACACACATACACACACACACACACACATATGCAGGAATTTCTCCCTCCTTTCTCACTTATAGGTCTCAAGAATAACTGTAGAATGTGCTGGGAATACAACATCCCTGGCTGGCAGCAATAGCCTGGGCTCTGTTCTAGTTCCCCCTTAAAACAGGAAATCTTTCAGCACTGTAGCTGAGATAATCACATGACCCTAGAGTATAAAACCTAAGACAAAGCTGCTTTCAGCAGTAGTGAGAGTGGGGTAGTTTCAGATGAGACTCTTATCTCCCTCGGCAGCTTTCTTGAGCCTTGGAAGACTGGCTTACTGTAAATCCTAGGCCTCTGTTGTCCCTTGCTGCCTATCTGTGAGTGAAACCTACTTCATGCAACATGCTGTGTGTGAGTGTGTTCTGTCTTATGGGACTCAGGTAAGTGGGTAAGCAGGCACCGTGAACCTGCTACACAATATGCAATACATATAATGCACACACTCATGTAGATGTAAGCTTGGGCTGAGGTGAATACTGGAGATACAAGGAAGCATCCCATAGAAAAACCTAAGTATAAATCAAATAGATAAATAAAGCAAATAACTTTCTCCTTAACATGTCCCATATATATTATCTTCAAAAATTTTTGCAAGGTTTCAGAAGGAGCAACCAGAAGGAAGTACTCTCTTCTTGCGGGGGTCACTGCTTACAACACAACTGTGGAAAGTCAAATAATCTTCCAGGTACCTCGGTTTTCTCATCTATAACATGAGATACTTAAAATAGAGTATTTGTAAAAATCATTTCACCTTTAAAGTTTCATAATCTGTTTTATCCTGCACAGCATTCCTCCTCTTTATTCTTTCAGGGGGATATTAGCCTTCCTTGCCTTCCTGCTGAGAACTCTTCTTGCCTGGTCTAGTGCATCTCAATGTCACTGAACACAGGGTGGACATGGCACAGACTGGCAATGAGTTTTTCTTTTCCTGGTCTGGACACAAAAGCATGACTTTAGAAAACAATATATCTGAGGTTTAATATGGGCGCTGCAAAACAGAGCATAAGCCTCCTCTGAGAACGTGAGTGCAAAGGTTAGGGGAGTGTGGAGCTTCAGGGGATGTCTGCTGTGATGTGGGGAACGGTCTGCAGGATAAAGCGTCAAAAGCACTGGACCCGACACGGTCTTACAGGCTCTGCCTGGGCCACCAGACTGACTAGGCTGGGAGTACCCAGCCCAGGACCCTCACTGACTTGAGCCAATCTGTTTCTATTTTTGTTCCATTTTGTTTGAATGACTCTGTGACTTGAATTTGAAACACAGTGAGAAAGAATTTGATGTTCTCTTTTGGTTCCTGTTACTAAAAGAAATTTTGTGAATTTTATAATGTCTTTAGGTTAGAAGAAAAATACAAGTTGGTTGATTTCAATATTTACCTCGTGGAAGTTTATTTGAAAACTACCACATTTTATGGTAAATGTAGTCTCAACAATAAAAATAAAAGAAAGGTTGAGGAATTAATACTTATTTGATATATTAAATAAAATAGTGAATATTCTTTATCTCTAAATATTCTACAACTTCCAAGAAAGTCTATGTTTTTACATTTAAGTTGTCCAAATAGATCAAGCAATATGTTATCCTTTGGATTCTCTATTACTAATCTAAAGTTTAGAGAATAGTTTGGTGCTTTAGGAAAAAGTTGGTATTTTCATGACACCATTATTATTAGAGTAGAAAATATGAAATATAGAAGAAAACATTTATGATATTTAGAGCTCAACTGAACATAGTCACATGCCTGACAGTTGGCCTGATTTTCCCACCACTAGGATTTTTTTGGAGTGGGGGTGGAATGCACACCTCTCCTAGAATTCAGATTTGAGACGCAAAGGGAAGAAAAATGAGGCAGGAAGACATCTCACTATTTTAGGGATTTAAAATGAATTTTACCTTTTTTCATGATGTCAGAAGCAAGTTGATACTTTATACATATTTTCTCCTTTCTCACTGATTATTCCTATGTAAGGATACGTCTTAAAGCTGTAATGAAATGTATATTACAGGGATATGAATGAGAGTGATTAGATTATATGTAGAATGAATATCAAAAATCAATTCTTTTCTGAAGCACTCCATTGCCTGAGTTCTTCTATTTCAGCTTAATCGGCCATAGTGGGTTTATCCTGTAGCAGGAAAGAATTCATTCTCCTTTTTTTAATCTTGGATTAAATCTATTTTCTGCAAGACAGCCTATATCAGGTTAGATGGCCCTGAAATAAATTATTCCCACAGGTAAAATTAATAGACACTAGAAGAAAAAGAATAATTTTACTATAATTTTGGGGAAATGACCACTATTGTTACTATTGAAGGAAAGGTGATGCAGGATTGAGATACACATGCACACATACATGCATGCATGTACATACATGATCACAGGTACATATGCACACAAACATGTACACACATATGCACACACATATATTCACATATACGCACATATGCTCACACACTCAAACTGACTCAGGCACACACACACATACACACACGAATATTTCTTTAACTCCTTGAGTCCCTTAAATATTAATATCATAACTATAAGAATATTTTAATATTTACCTGGCATTTTGCTTGGTAAATTCCCATTATAAAATAAAAATTTACAAATAAAATGTGAAACAAATTCTGTGATTTTACATTTGTATATAAATATGATCCACAAAAAGATCAGAGATTATAGAGGACCATGCTTTTAGAAGATAAAGAAAGATGGGAATCAAAGTATTTTGAAGCTACCAAAGACACGGAGGGAGTGAAATTACCTAGACACATTTTTTAATATGTATTCTGAATCACCAAGATATTTACCAGCTGAAAGTCACCAAGTCAGCCCAGCCCACACCGAAGGCAGCAGAAACACGTGGTGAGCAGAACCTAAGCCAAGCTACTAAATTCTGAGTGGTTTCTTATATAGCAACAGATAAATGGAACATATGGAAAAGCAAATTTTAACAATCAAGCAGGTGTGAACTTCGTCATTCAGAATAGATGGGGTGACATCTGCCAGCCCAAGGGGAATCTCCAACACCTGCCCACTGCCAGTGTTTTCATTTGTGGCTCCTGGGGCTTTTGGAGTCCCAAAAGAGGCAGGACTAGTATCTTTTCTCCTTAACGCTTTCAGACTTTCCTCTAGGAGCACCAGGTAACGTGTGCAAAACAAAACAAATCAAAACAAACAAACAAAAAAATCAAAGCTGTTATCTTAGCTATATCACTGTTAATCTTTCTAAAGGGAGAAAAACTAAACAACAAACCGTTCAGTAAAACAAATAACATGCTCCAGCCTATGTCTGTGTTAAAGGAGGGCTAGAAGGAGAAGCTAGGGAGTTGTTCAGCATTCCTAACAGATGAGTAGGTTTTGGGGAAATGGACTTGCCACTGCATAGCTCTCTTTATCCACAATTTAGCGAAGGGAAGGGAAGGGGAAGGGGAAGGAGAAGGGGAACGGGAAGGGAGAAGGGAGAAGGATGGAGCGTGGGGGGAAGGAAGGACAAGGGAGGAAGGAAGGAAGGAAGGTAGGTGAAGGGAAGGAAGGAAGGAAGGAAGGAAGGAAGGAAGGAAGGTAGGTGAAGGGAAGGAAGGAAGGAAGGAAGGAAGGAAGGAAGGGAGGTAGGTGAAGGGAAGGAAGGAAGGAAGGAAGGAAGGTGAAGGAAGGAAGGAAGGCATGCAGGCAGTATAAATGGCTATATAAAGTTTATGTGTATGACTATGTTTGGATGACAGAAACACCAATGTGAGTAAGGACTTAGACATTGTCAGAGTAGAGTTTCATAAATTATTGCAATCATGACCGTGATATACATATAATATAGATGTACATACAGGCAATTTTCTGTAAATAGCCAGATAGCAAACATTTTAGGCTTTACAGAGCATACGGTCTCTGTCACAGCTACTCAACCAGGCCATTCTAGAGCATGAGTTGCCATAGATAGCAGACACATGAGTAGGTATGGCTATGTTTCAATAACACTTTATTTACAAACACAGAGAGTGGGCAGAATCTATCCCTCGGGCCATAATTGGCAGATTCCTTTTCTAGTTAACTACGTCGGTACAGTGTATAATGACCACGATGCACGCTTTGTTAATTGGCATTCACACATGATACTCCTCAGCAGACAACTTCCAATTAAATAAAACAGCAAAATCATGCATTTTGTTTAATATTATGCAATTGTTTTACATACAACCATGTACCTCTTAACGCTCTTCAAAAAATGGGCCACAAAATCCTTTTAGGTGAAAGTTCATTCATCTAGCTGAGTCCTCTCAGTCCTCCATTGATATCCTGTAACTTAAATACAGAGATATAAAGTTAATTATTATTAATATATTTTATTTTAAATTGTATAAAAATGAAAGAAAGGAATAAAAGGAAAGAGTTGGTTAATATATACACAAATCAACATAAGGAAATATATATATATATATATATATTTTGAGATGGAGTCTCACTCTGTTGCTAGGCTGGAGTGCAGTGGTGAGATCTTGGCTCACGGCAACCTCTGACTCCTTGGTTCAAGCAATTCTCCTGTCTCAGCCTCCTGAGTAGCTGGGATTACAGGCACGCGCCACCACACCCAGCTAATTTTTGTATTTTTAGTAGAGAATGGGTTTCACCATGTTGGCCAGGATGGTCTCAATCTCCTGACCCTGTGATTCGCCCTCCCCAGCGTTCCAAAGTGCTGGGATTACAGGCACAAGCCACTGCATCTGGCCAGGAAAAATATATTCAACACTGTTCAAGTCCTTCTTTCTGCCACTGCTCACATGATCATAGTTGATAATGGTAACTTGCTTCTTCCACAGCCCCTTTCATATTCTCTTTTCTCCTGGAAAGCACCATAGCTAACTGTGGCTCCCTGCCTTGTAGAATGGCTGGTTTCTTCATTTTAGAAGGTTCTACACCGTTAGGAGGCCTGCCTGTATTGAGTTGTAGCATTGTATTGAAAAATTAAACAACAGCCGGTTTTATAGAACATGGAAGTAATGACAAGCACCCCAGGTGATTTCATAATTTCAAACACACATCTACTTATCCTCTTTGGATATAAACCCAGCATTTCCTTGACCATAGGAAGGAATTATTGGTTAATTGAGCAGCATTGACCAGCACTTCCTTGACGACCTCTACTACTCTAGTAGAGGAACACTCTTCTTGGCCTGTTGCTTCACTGGCATGAGATCCCAAAGGGGCCTGGTGTCCATCTGCTATGGGCTAAATTGCATCTACTCCAAACTAATATGTTGAAGCTCTTACCTCCAGCATGATGGTATTTGGAATAAGGATGTAATTAAGGGTAAATTAGGTTATAATGGTGGAGCTCTGATCTGATAAGATTAGCGTTCTCATAAGAAGAAACACCGAATCTCTCTCTCTCTTAACATCTCTGTCTCTCTATCTCTCTGTCCCCCTGCACTATGTGAGGACACAGGGAGAAGCTGGCCATCCATCAGCCAGGAGAGAGCTGTCACCAGAGATTAAATCAGCAAGAACTCTGACCTTGGACTTCCAGCCTCTAGAACTGTGAGAAATACTTGTCTGTTGCTTAAGGCACGTTGTCTGTGGTTTGTTATGGAAACCCAAGCTAAGAGCCTGTCTTAAATCCCAGGTTAATGACAGTATCACAATCCCATACCTCTTTTGGGGACCAGAAGATCCCAATATCACAGGAAGAAGAAGCAAAATGTCTTGCCAGTGAATCGCTAGGAGCAATAATGAGATAAATCACTCCCATTTTCACCCCTTCAATCTTGGACCCATGGATTCTAGCTTTGGAAAAAACTAATATATTGGTCATTGATCTAGAGTGTACAGCACATCCTGAAAAATATTATTCCGGTTCTAGGAGGCATTGCCACCAAGACAGAAGCATCACTTAATCTTCACAAAGAAACATACACTATAGTTTGGGTATTTGACCTCTCCAAGCCTCGTGTTGAAATTTGATGGAACAAATGTTGGAGGTGGGGCCTAATTAGAAGTGTTAGGGATCAAGATCCCTCATGAATGACTGGGTGCTGTCCTCATGATAATGAGTGAATTTTCACTCTGTTAATTCCTGCAAGAGTTCTCCTGAGAGCTGGTTGTTGAAAAGAGCCTGGTGCCTTCCTCCCATCTCTTTCCTCCTCTCTCACCATTGAAGCTTTACCTCCTTTGCCTTCCACCAGGACTGGGAGCAGCCTGAGGCCCCCACCAGATACAGGTGCCGGCACCATGCTACTTGCCAGCCTGCAGGACCATGAGCCAAATAAACCTTTTAAAAAATAATAATAATTTACCCAGTCTCAGCTATTCCTTTATAGCAACAAAAATGAACAACAACAGCATCCCATCAGATCTCTCAGGCCAGCTGCTTCTGGGTGATGGGTAACATGCACATGCCAATGAATTTCATGAGAATGAGCCCAACAGTATAATATACTTTCCCAAAGAAAAATAAAGCACGTATTTGAAAATGCCATATACCTCATTTTACATTTCTACATTATCATATTAATACGAGCTCCCTATGAGACATCAGGAAATTCTGGAAAAGCACCATGAAATAATTTGAAATTTAGTTATGAAAATTGGTATTTTATTCCCTTCAGTTGGAGGTTAAATAGATATCTAGTATACAAACAACTTCTCTTTGACATATAGCTTAGGTTTAACAGTTCATCCTTAGGCCCATTATGGGATTCTCAACTATTCCACAATTCATAATACCATCATATTCTGATGGCTGCAAAGACATATTCTGTTGTCACTTTCCACACACCAGCCTCTGCTGTTCATTGTGCATTCTGTGGCTTACCAAAGAGACCACTTTAATAAAAGAAGTGTGTTGAGTGAATGAAAATGAAGTGAACTGAGTCTGAGTTTCATATCCAGAAAAAAATACCTAGAATACAAATTTTAAAACATCACATGGCCAGAAAGACCCTATATTAAATTCAGTAGTGACCCCAAGAAGGGCTCTGAAGGCCAAGAACTCTTCACTCAGGGCTATAATGGGATGCAGAGTCATTTTATGTAAGATGTGCTGGCCTGGGAGTCAGAAGGCCTCTGTTTAAGATCTGCAAATTAATTTTGCCAAATCCTGACTCTCCATCTACAAAAGAGAAATAAGTAATAGCAGCCTTTCTTCCAGTTTCAGAAAAGTTCAAATAGACATGAGATGTTTGAACGTTGTTTTCAGAGTATGTAAGGGTCTCGCATCTGGCTTGGGCTGGGGGTCTGGGGACAAAGAGCAAGGATTGAGTAGGGCACAGCCAACCTAGAGCTGCCGGCAGATCACAGGAGGGGCACAAGTGAAGCCACAGAATGTGAAGACTTAAACATGAGACTGAATCAAATTCAAAGTGAAGGGGCTGTCACCCAGACCACAGTTAGGGAGGATTGGAAGAGACACTGATTGATCTGGAGAGAGAATGGGGGTTTGATAGGGCCGTGATTGGTATCTCTGAGTGGTGAGCAGCTGTTAAGGTACCAGCCTGGTGCAGGCATTGGATGCGAGCAGCTGATAAAGCACTAATTTTTCTCCCAACGAGATGCCCCATCCTCTTGTTTCCCATGCTAACCACAGGTCCATTTAACGAGCCACCAATTCCGTCATTTACACAGTCCTGTAAAACTCATGTTTGTCTTGTATATGTAGTGGGAAAATCTATCCTGAATTCTCCTGTTAATTGACTCAATTTTCTAGTTCATTTTGCTGGCATCAAACTGGCCCCTTTGAACTATTATGCTGGATTTGGTTCTGCAGAAGCTTCCCTAAAGCACACTGGAACCTTGAAATCAGAGGCCACCATGAGGTGTGAAATTACAACAGCTGAAGTTGTAGGACACTCTCAGATAATGTCATTTCATGGTTTAATAAATAATATAAAAATATCCAAATCCTTTACAAGATAACTGCTAGAACATTTCATTCTAAATTCTATTTTTGACTTAAAATGTTACGATGCTCTCTCATTTTGTCTCCTGAAGTTGAAAGAGAAAAATATACCTACATGGAGAATTCTTAATAGTAACACAGCCAAGAATAAGATGCTGAATGAATAGATTTACAGTATATAAATATGTGTGTGTATATTATATACATACATACATAGATACACACATACATGTGAGAGTGTGTGTATGTTTACATAAATAACACATGGGTGCACATTTTATATATACGTAGAGATAAATATAATAGCCATAGGTAGATACAGATAGAGCTGTAATAGCTGTAGATACAGAACAAAACCAAAATAAAACAGGCACACCACTGCTCATGGGTTAATGTCAAAGACACACATCAGTAATTCCTATTCACTTAACATAAATGTTTCTCAAATAGATGTGCTCTTTTCCATTCTAAATAATAGTGAGATAGTAGCTACTAGGGCATGGATGAGGGAGAGAAAGGAGCAGAAGTGGGCTCCCAAGTTTGAAATTCGGATGTTTTGCCAATAGAAATGGAGAATGCAGAAGGGAAAGCTGTCTGAGGAGGATGGGCAAGGGCCAGAAGAGCATGAGAATGGCATGAGGGTGACTGTTTTGTGAAATACAGTTTCACGTTAAATAAATCTAAGGTAATTTATCTCAAGCAGAAGGCCTATTAAAAAAATGCTAAAAGAACTAAAGTGCAATTATGCCAGAAGGAATCTTCAAAATCCCGGTGTGAAGGAACAGCAACAAAAATAGCAAATATCATCCAGGCTTGGTGGCTCATGCCTGTAATCCCAGCACTTTGGGAGGCTGAGGTGGGAGGAACCCAGAAGCCCAGGAGTTCGAGACCAGCCTGGTCACCATGGCAAAATCCCATGTCTACAAAAAATACAAAAAAAAAAAAAAAATAGGTGGGCATGGTGATATGTGCCTGTAGTCCCAGCTACTTGGGAGACTGAGGCAGGAGGATTCCTAGAGCCCAGGAGGTTGAAGCTGCAGTGAGCCGAGATCGCACCCCCCTGCATTCCAGCCGGGGGGACAGAGCCAGACCCTCTCTCAAACAAAACAAAACAAAACAAAACAAAACAAAACAAATAGTAAATATTTGGGTCAAAGTAATAGAATATTTTTCTACTGCTAGAAAGCTGTGAAATATACATGACCTTAGGAAACAAAAGTTCTAATCTTGTCTGGGGCAGTTTAATATAGATAGATAGATGATAGATAGATAGATAGATAGATAGATAGATAGATAGATAGATAGATAGATATAGATAGATAGATAACTGATAGATAAATAGACAGATGTAATGCACATGGCAACTGTAATAAAAAGAGGAGGCCAAATGATTCTATTTGGTTGCAAGTCTGCTATGTTGGGAGGTAAAATAATAACTGAAAGAAAATCGTGACATTAGACAGGTATATTTTTATTTCTTGATCAACCACTTAAAATAGTAAAAAGAGATATAGCTAAAACACAGCACATGTTAAATGAAATATTTAAAAGTATGTATAAAAGCAAAAAAATGAAGGCAAGTATATTACTTGATGTTGACTCTCATAGCAGAATATCACAGACTGGGTGGATTAAACAACAAAAGACATTTAGTTTCTCACTGTTCTGAGGGCCAGAAATCCATAATCCAGATACTAGCAGCTGCGGTTTCTGGCAAGCCTTCTCTTCCTTCCCTGCAGACAGACACCTTCTTGCTGTGTCCTCACATGGCTTCTTCTCTGTGTGTGCACAGAGAGACAGTGCTGGGTTTTTTTTCCTCTTCTTGCATGGATACCAGTCCTATTGGACTAGAGCCTCACCTTTATAAACTAATGTAACTTTAATTATTTCCATAAAGTCCCTAACCTTCAATATAGTAGCAATGGAAATTACAGCCTGAGTATATGAATCTGAGGAAGATTCAAACCTTCAGTCCATGATAATAAGGAAGAACCAGAGAAATAAAAAAATAAAAAATGACAATCAGAAAATAATAAAAATGTTAGAATTAAATCTAACCAAATCAGTGATTACATTAAATTTAAATAATCTAAACACACCAAATCAAAAATAAAGATTGACAAATCGAATTAAAACAAACAAACAAAAAGACTTGACTGTATGGTGGTAAGGTATCTGCAAGAAACCCACTGTAAATATAGTGATATAGATAGGTCTCAGAAATAAATTGGCACCTTTAATGTCAATTCATTTTTGACAAAGGTGCCAAAAACACACAATGGGAAAAGGACAGTATCTTCAATAAACGTTGTTTGAAAAACTGAATATTCACATGCAGAACAATAAAACTAGATCCTTATCTCACACCATATACAAAAATCAACTGAAAATGGATTAAAGATTTTAACATCAAACCTGAAACTAAAACTACTAGAAAAAAACATATTGGAAAAGCTCCATGATATTGGTCTGGGTAGAGATTTTTGAATATGACTCCAAAAGCACAGGCAACAATAGCAAAAATAAACAGATAAAATTACATCAAACTAAAAACTTCTGTACAGTGAAGAAAACAGCAAACAGAATGAAGAGATGACTTATAGAATGAGAGAAAATATTTGCAAACTCTACATGTAACAAGGGTTTAATATCAAAAATATATAAGAAATCCAAACAACTCAAGAGTGGCCCAATTAAAATTGAGCAAAGAACCTGAATATACATTTCTTCAAAGAAGAAATACAAATGGCAAACAGATATATATAAAAAAAAGCTCAACATCACTGATTACTAAAGAAATGCAAAATAAAACCACAAGACATAAAACCTCATACCTGTTTGAATGGTTATTGTCAAAAATACAAAAGATGACAAGTGTTGGCAAAGATATGGAGAAAATGGAACCCTTGTACACTGTTGGTAAGACTGTAAATTAGTACAGCCATTATGGAAAACAGTATGGAGGTTCCAGAAAAAATTAAAAATAGAACTATTATATGATCTAGCAATCCCATTGCTGGGTTTGCATATCCAAAGGAGATGAAATCAATATCTCGAAAATATAGCTGCATTACCATGTCCATTGTGGCAATATTCAGAGTAGCTAAGATACAGAATCAACCTAAGGGTTCATCAACAATAGTTGGATAAAGAAAATGTGTGATATATACACAATGAATATTATTCAGCAGTAAAACAAAGGGAAGCCTTTCATTTTTGCAACATGGAAGAAACTGGAGAACATTATGTTGGATGAAATACTCTGTACTTAAAAGTCACTAAAAGAGTAGATTTTAAATGTTCTCATCATAAAAAATGTTAATTAGCTCAATTTAACCATTCTACCATGAATTCATAGCTCAAAACATCACGTTATAAAACATAAATATATACAACTTTCATTTGTCAATAAAAAAGTAATAAATTTTAAAAATAAATAAAATGAAACTAACAAAAATAAAATATTTAGGTGTTAAAATTATGTGTGGGATTGGTATATTCAGAACAACAAAACACTGATGACAGAATAAATGAAGACCTACCTAAATGGAGAGATATACTATAGATATGAATCTGATGACCTCATTTTAGAAAGTTAATTGGCCCTAAATGGATCTAGATTTAATGCAAATACATTTAATATGATACAAAAACAATTAAAATTCCATCAGGATGCTTTTTAGATATTAAAGAGCTGATCCTCAAATTTATATAAAAAGGGAAATGAAGTAAAGTAGTTAAACTTCTTTTAAAAAAGAAGAACAAATTTGGAGGAACCACTTCACCTGATTTGAAACTTACCATAAATCGACATTATCAAAGAGAGTACTTAAAAAATAGTGGACCTCCAAAAATCCTCTCCTCCAAAATAACAGTAAGATCACTGGCAAAGAAAAAAAAAATCATTGCAATCAGCCTTTTCAGAACTGTAGAAATAAACAAAAGACTTGCAGCATTCTCCAGAGTGTTTATTCCAGAAAAAGGCTGACTCTTCATAAAAGCTTTGTGACATTTAAACTTGCCCTATTCGCATCCTCCTCTCCCTAGTTTCTTGATACTCTTGACAACCAGAAGCATAAGCAGTATGGCAGTTTTAAAAATCAGAAGCCTGGCAGTCTCTGGAAGAGGAAGACCATCTTCGGATTACCCTGAAATTCCCTATTCCAGGAGAATTGAAACCATTTGTCCTGTCTAACAGCAACCAAGAAAAGCATCTTTGTCAGGCCTTATCTTTATTTGACCTCAGAGCTCAGTTAGTGAGAAATGCCCTGTGTTATTTGAAAAAAAAAAAAAAAAAAAAGCAAAAATAAGAATAGTGCCTGAGGTAGCAATGATAATTGAGGCAAATAAGAATCTGTCCAAAAGCCTAAAAAATATATATAGGGAATTAGTTGTACCTTAAGGACTTTGAAAAGCTCTACCTCACCCTTGGAAATCTAGATTGTGCCCCTGTACAGGGCTAAGTGTGTGCCAGGAAAGACCTCAGAACACCTCAACCTCTCACTTCTGGCCGTCCTTGAGACTCCATTCAAACAAGAAATGAAGAGTGAGGCAGATTTGTGAACTGCTGGAAAGTGAAGGCATAACCCAACACATGCACCGAACTTCTCAGTAGAGGGTGAGAGACTTACTGGTTCAAGGAATTTCAGGAAATTTGTGACCTGTCATTAGCTCATCAACAAACTGAGTGGAGGCCTTAGTGATTGCACATGGCAAAGAATAGAGACTATGGAATTCGTTCTGGGAAGTCACTAAACAAACAAAGAGCGACAACAGCAATAACAAAAGAGACAATAATAAACCACAGGGAGGAAGGGAAAATCCTGTTGATAGATTTGTTGAACAATATTTAAAATTCTAGTTTTCAACAAAAAATTATAAGACATTTAACAAAGGAAGGTACAGCTGATTTATAATACCCTCTATCCAAATCAGCAGAATGCATTCTTCTTAAGTACATGTAAACATTATCCAGGATAGACAATATGGTAAGCATAAATTATACATCGGTAAGTTTAAAAGGATCAAAACCATTCAAAGTTTATTCTACAATCAAAATGAAATACAATTAAAAATCAATAACAGAAATAAATCAGAAAAATTTATAAATTTGCAGTGTGCAGAGATTAACACATTCCTAAATAATTAATACATCAAAGAAGAAATCCCAAGGGAAGCTATGAAATATATTGAGATTCATGAAAACAAAAACACAATATACCACAGCATATGGAATGTAGTGAAAACAGTACTCAGTGGAATATATATTGCTGTTATGCCAATATTTTAAAAAGAAAAATAAAACATCAATAACAACGTTCCACCTTAAGAAACTAGAAAAGGAAGACTAAACTAAACCCAACCCATGCAAAATAAAGGAAATGAGAACCATTAAAGTGAAAATAAATAAAACAAGTAATAGCAATCAAATAGAGGTAACCAACAAAGCCAAAAACTTTTGAAGTCAACAAAATGTATTAACCTTTATCTAAATTGGCCAAAACTATCTTTATAAAGAATAAATTTGGAATACTGACATTTCTCAATTTCAAAACTTATTAAGAGACCACAGTAATGAAGACAGGCTGGGCATACAGAGCAATGTATTAGAATTAAAAGTCTAGAAATAACCCTTTGCATTTATGGTAAAGTGACTATTTTTACAAGGGTAACAGGACAAGTCGAGGGTAAAGAACAGCATTTTCAACAAATGATGTGAAAAAAATCCTTCAATTGTGAATGGGTAAACAAACTGGTTAATGTATACAATAGAATAGGTACAATTCAGCAACAAAAAGGAATAGACTACTAAGATATTCATCAACTTGGTTGGATTTCAAATGCATTATGTCAATGGAAAGAAGCCAGATCTAAAAGGCTACATGCTATATAACTCTATTCATATGTCATTCTGGAAAAGACAAAATTATAGGGACAAATGGGCATGTGGTTTGACTACAAATGTCAGTACTAGAAGATTGTATGGGGGTAAGGAACTCTTTTTTATCTTGATTATGGTGGTGATTACATGACTATGCATCAGGATTTATCAAATTAGACACAAAAGAAAAGTGAATTGTACTGTCCATAAATTTAAAATTGCATTAAAATAATATAAAATACTAAAAAATTGATCATTTAACTATGGTCATTCAGGAAAAAAAACCTGACTTTTAATGTGATAGAATTCTTGATTATTTTACATATAATTTGCCACAATTACCTTTTATATGATTTCTCAAAGAGAAAGGATGTATTCACGTTGAAAGATTCATTAAAGATAAATGATCATCTTAGAAAACAACTACTTTAAATCAGTATATGTCTGGAATAATGTGACCCCTTTATGTCTTCTATATATTCTATAATATTTTTATCTATGTACATATTCTGGTTTCCATTTTGGGGAATCTGAATCAATAGATGTGCAGAACAATATCCCATCCTAATTGATAGTTTGAATAAGTAACTAAGTCATGGATTTTGAAGCCACTTCAAGGGAAGTAACTTGTTTAATGGACCACTCTTAGTGATATCGAGAATCAACTCCATCTTCTGTTAATGGATTTCATATTAATATTTCATTTCTACAACAGCTTAAAATTATTGCCTTTGTTGCCCAAATGCCAATTAAGTGCTTCCTGCATTTAAATCAAGACCAAGCCCACCAAGAAGCTGACAACTGAAATTTCATGGGGCGGGAGAGGGATAGAGGGATAGAAGCAGAATAGATTTTCTTTTTTTTTTTTTTTTTTTTTGAGACAGAGTTTCACTCTCGTTGCCCAGGCTGGAGTAGAATGGTGCAATCTCAGCTCACTGCAACCTCCGCCACCTGGGTTCAAGTGATTCTCCTGCCTCAGCCTCCCGAAGAGCTGGGATTACAGGCACCCACCACCATGCCCAGCTAATTTTGTATTTTTAGTAGAGATGGGGTTTCTCCATGTTGGTCAGGCTAGTCTCGAACTCCTGACCTCAGGTGATCCACCCGAGACAGCCTCCCAAAGTGCTGGGATTACAGGTGTGAGCCACCGCTCCCAGCCAAATAGATTTTACTCATGGTATCATGAACACAGCCCACTTCTCACACAGCCAAGTCTCCTGGTTTATGTAATTGACTAAGTTTTAGAAGCAACAGAAGGATACTTTGTGAGCAAATCCCAAGTTGAGTTAAGGATAATGGTATTTATCTGTTTCTTAAATTTCTCTATATTGATCATAAATTGCTTCAGTAACTTTCCTAAATTTATATTTGTCAGGTGTCTTGTTTGCCTGAATTTGAGAAGTATTTACCCAACTGTTACAGACCCCAAAGGCCATGGTTTACGAAGCATGACTTACAACAAATTTACTTCCAGTTCAGCCTCAATTTCGAATTTTAATATACTATTTACGATTAGTATTAGATGTATCTTTAGTAAAATAAGGAGGATTTCAGATTTTAAAATTTTGAGATTAACAATTTAAAAAGGACAAAGGAGAAAAGTCACTGCTGAGTGTTTTTACAAATGCTCGTCTAAACAGTTCCTGTTATTTCCCTTGTCCATTTTGAATCATATCCTGTGATTCAAGTTCAGGCATAATAGTTTTGCACAGCTCTTATGCCATTGAGAATCGCCATGTAATGCTGTTTTTACAGCACTGCAAGCAGTCTGAAGTAACACAGACATCTGCATCTACAGCAAGTTGAGGAATACCTGTGAATGCTGCCAAGCCTCCTGTAGAATAGATTAAGGGTGTATACTTTCAAGAGGCAGTTAGAGCACAATTGGCAAGCATGAGGCAGTACACTGGGAGGAAGCTGAGATTATGCACAGTTGCACACAATGATTCATAAACAGTATGTGAGGCTCAGTTGGCATGGTCTTCTGGCTATAGCAAGCCATGCTCTTCAAAGCTTATCTGTGGTCAATCTCTGATATAGACTGACCAAACTATTTCCTGCAAATTTTGCCATGAACCACAGGGTGAAGATGAATAAGCAATAAAGAGCTTGGAAAGCTTACTCAGGTGTCTCCATAGAAATAGTCTAAAAGGATCTAGAAACTAAAGGAATATTGTTTTATCACTACCAATGATAAAACTGAGTATGTAAAAATGAAAGGTTTAAAAACCATTGAAACCATTAGGTAAATTTGATCACCAACTAAGAGGCTACAGTAATGAAGACAGAATAGATTTTTTTTTTTTTTTTTTTTTTGAGACGGAGTTTCACTCTTGTTGCCCAGGCTGGAGTACAATGGTGCAATCTCAGCTCACTGCAACCTCTGCCACCTGGGTTCAAGTGATTCTCCTGCCTCAGCCTCCGGAGTAGCTGGGATTACAGGCACAAATTTGGTGATTTGGTAATTATTATTCAGTTTTTAGATGTAAGAATAGTGTTGTGCTTCTATTTTGTAAGATTTCTAATCTGTATAAATGAGTAATGATTGTAGTTACTCTGATTTCTGGAATTTTCTTCAAAATAATCCATTAGATGGAGAAGAGGAGGAGGGGACGACAGATGGGCCTGAGTTGACATTGTCCAAGTTATGTCATAGACGCATGAAGGTCCATGATCCTTGATATTCTACTTCGTATAGCTTTAAAATTTCCCACAGTAATAAGTTAAATATGCTTTTAGAAAAAAACTTTATTACTTGTCTAAGGAATCTTTTGATTTTTTTGATTTATATGGGTCTTGACATGAGATTGGGAAAGCCGAGCTCACATTATTTATTGTTTTTGTTTTGTTTTTTGTCTTTTTATTTTATTTTTTAAATTATTTATTTATTTATTTATTTATTTATTTTGAGACGGAGTCTCGCTCTGTCACCCAGGCTGGAGTGCAGTGGTGCCATCTCGGCTCACTGCAGCTTCTGCCTCCCGGGTTCAAGCGATTCTTCTGCTTCAGTCTCCAAAACAGCTGGAACTAAAGGGGTGCACTGCCATGCTCGGCTAATTTTTTTGTATTTTTAGTAGAGATGGGGTTTCGCCATGTTGGCCACGCTGGCCTTGAACTCCTGACCTCAGGTGATCCGCTCGCCTTGGCCTCCCAAAATGCTGGGATTACAGGCGTGAGCCACCATGCCTGGCCACATTACTTATTGTTAAAGGGGCTTTTAGTTTTCTTTTTTATTGTTTTTTGTTTGTTTGTTTGTTGTTTTGATGGTAAGGCCAATTTAATTTGTTGAGGACACATGAACCCATAAAGGGGAACGGCACACACTGGGGCTTATTGGAGGGTGGAGGGTGGGAGGAGGGAAAGGATCAGGAAAAACAATGAATGAGTACTAGGCTTAATACTTAGGTGATGAAATAATCTGTACAACAAACCCCCATGGCACAAGTTTACCTGTGTAACAAACCTGCACGTGTACACCTGAACTTAAATGTTAAAACAATTTTTTTGAGTTTGTTTTTCTCAAAACTTTTGCCAATTCTCTTTCCTGTCCACATGTTTCTCCCTTGTCATCTGCTTCCTTTCCATCCTTCTCCTTACCCTTCTGTAATCTCATGTTCTATCCAACATGTTCGGTTGTTTTCAAGGGGACGGTCGGTCCAAGACCCAGCCTGTGGCACCACTGGACACAGAAGTCTTCCTCAGCTGCTCTGCATTGAACGATCACTGTGGGATAATGTCATCAAAATAGACAAAGGGTTAGTGAGCATGTAGAAGAAACGTTAAAAAGTAGAAAGCTATAAAGTTCCAGGAAGGGAAACATTAACATTCTCCTTAGACCTACTTAGAATCTCATTAAATAAGTCCAAATCACAGATTAAGGACACTGCTTTTGATAACCCATTTCCAAAGAGCTCAGCGATTTAAAATAAATTAGAACACTCATCTCTTCAATCTCCTTTATTGAAGGGCACATTCAAAGTTTCTTCATTGTTTTTTACAGTGCCATACAGAACAGAGCTTTCAGATGGTTTAGGAATTAAGGAGGAGGAAAACATCAGTGTTGGCCAGGGCTGGCCCAATCTGTAGTGTCCCTTGGAAACCTCTCCAGTAAACAAGGTTTGAGTTCAAACCCCATGTTAGCTATTTAGTGATGTGTAAACTTTGATCCATGGTTCAACATCTCTGAATACTGTTTTCTCAAAAGGAAATTAGAAAGAAAAGGAATATCTTATCTATAAATTGTCTTAAGAATTCAATTGAATAAGAAAATGTAAATAAAGTATCTACCATTCTAACTGAAATGTTAAATATTAATTCACTATTAGATATTCATTAACCACTATCATTATATGATTCCTAACTACATCCACATAGAACAGGATATAAAAAATGGGAAGGGATTAAATACTATACTTCTGGGATTCTGAAAAATAAGCTGGATATCGATTTACCCTCATTTCCTTTTTTTCTCTAAAGATGGTCTGGAGAATCTCACTTCCTACTTCTCAGGAAGCTAAATGGGAATTCCAGCATTCTGAGGTGAGGGTT